>NC_000002.12:27215370-27368121 GCF_000001405.40 Homo sapiens
AGGCACATACCACTGTCATCATGTAAGTAGTTAGGTACCTCCCACCCAAAAGGCTAATATAATGTAGGTTGATGCGAAAGTGCTAACATTGTGTACTTTGCAGAGACCTGCAAGCAAACCCCCTCAAAGGTGACTTGGCCAACACCTTCCGTGGCTTTACTCAGCTCCAGACTCTGTGAGTAAGGGTATGGGAAGAGAATCAAAGAGGGATGATGCTGTGAGTTTAGCAACTTTGCATGTTATGACCACATTTCTCTATAGGATACTGCCACAACATGTCAACTGTCCTGGAGGAATTAATGCCTGGAATACTATCACCTCTTATATAGACAACCAAATCTGTCAAGGGCAAAAGAACCTTTGCAATAACACTGGGGACCCAGGTATGCTGTCTTACCTCCAAACTTCTGGGAATTGTCTTTTCTCCCTTGTATTTTCCACTTTAGATCAGAAAGACAAAGTTGCTTAAGCGCCTTTCATTCAGAGTTCTGGGGCTATAACCCCTTTGAAAGAAAAGATCTTAAGATATACTCTATTATTTGTCTCACGTGTGTCCGTGTAAAGAGACCACCAAACAGGCTTTGTGTGAGCAACAAGGCTGTTTATTTCACCTGGGTGCAGGTGGGCTGAGTCCAAAAAGAGAGTCAGCAAAGGGTGGTGGGATTATCATTAGTTCTTACAGGTTTTGGGGTAGGCAGTGGAGTTAGGAGTGCTGTTTTGCGGGCAGGGGATGGATCTTACAAAGTACATTCTCAAGGGTGGGGAGAATTACAAAGAACCTTCTTAAGCGTGGGAGAGATTACAAGGAAACTTCTTAAGGGTAAGGGAGATTACAAAGTATATTGATCAGTTAGGGTGGGGCAGAAACAAATCACAATGGTGGAATGTCATCAGTTAAGGCTATTTTCATTTCTTTTGTGGATCTTCAGTTGCTTCAGACCATCTGGATGTATACGTGCAGGTCACAGGGGATATGATAGCTTAGCTTGGGCTCAGAGGCCTGACATTATTGTTACTGTTTTTATCTGTAATTTTCTTTCTTCTTCCTTTATCCTAGCAATGATTGAGAGAATCTAAGTTGAAACAGATAATTGAGAAATATGCCTAATGAAATGGATAAAGTGATGTTCTCTATTTCTCTCTGGCCTCCAGAAATGTGTCCTGAGAATGGATCTTGTGTACCTGATGGTCCAGGTCTTTTGCAGTGTGTTTGTGCTGATGGTTTCCATGGATACAAGTGTATGCGCCAGGTGAGGAATTAGGCCGTCTAACTAGGGATACAAGGAATGCATAGAGCAAGTCTTCTCAGAAAGGAGAGCCACAAGACCAGGAGCTGATACAAATTTCCTATAGGTGGAAAACTATAGAATTGCCCTAGACAAAGTGATAGGTATATTAGGAAAGAACTAGGTGTTAGGATGTGGCCCTCCGTGTAACGTTGTATGGGGGTGTTTTTTGGTCTGTTGTTCACAGGGCTCGTTCTCACTGCTTATGTTCTTCGGGATTCTGGGAGCCACCACTCTATCCGTCTCCATTCTGCTTTGGGCGACCCAGCGCCGAAAAGCCAAGACTTCATGAACTACATAGGTCTTACCATTGACCTAAGATCAATCTGAACTATCTTAGCCCAGTCAGGGAGCTCTGCTTCCTAGAAAGGCATCTTTCGCCAGTGGATTCGCCTCAAGGTTGAGGCCGCCATTGGAAGATGAAAAATTGCACTCCCTTGGTGTAGACAAATACCAGTTCCCATTGGTGTTGTTGCCTATAATAAACACTTTTTTCTTTTTTTTTCCTCTCTTTCTTTTTAAGGAAAGGCGCCCTGCCTTTACGTGTTTCTTGCTTGGGGTGGGAGGGACTGCTTTAGGGCAGCCGGTTTTTTCAGGTTTCCCCCGGTTTTGCAGTGCGGAGACCACGGGGGCCCACTCCCCGTGGCTCCGCGGACCCCGCCCCTTACGTGCCCGGCCCCGCCCCTCACGCCGCCTGTGTCCGCGCCGCCGCAGTCTCTGCTGCTGCCGCCAAGCGCGCCCGAGGCTCCTACGCTGCCGCGCCCGGCTTCTCTCCAGCGCCCCGCGCCGTTAGCCACGTGGACCGACTCCGGCGCGCCGTCCTCACGTGGTTCCAGTGGAGTTTGCAGTCCTTCCCGCTTCTCCGTACTCGCCCCCGCCTCTGAGCTCCCTTCCCATGGCGGCCCTAGTGTTGGAGGACGGGTCGGTCCTGCGGGGCCAGCCCTTTGGGGCCGCCGTGTCGACTGCCGGGGAAGTGGGTAAGCAAGCCCGGTTAGGCTGCAGACCTTATCCCACTCTGTGATGCGCCTCTCCTCCCAACCTTCCCCGTCCAGACCCCGCCATTTTCCCGCCAGCGTACCCCCTTCCCCCATTCGGTGCCCATGGGCCCCAGCGCCATAAACCCCTCGCGACCAAGGCAGCCTCCACTGGGGCGTGCTCATCGCGCGGGGAGTGTTCCGAAGGGTGCCCTACCGGAGCCCAGCCCTGCTTCTTTCTTGCAGTGTTTCAAACCGGCATGGTCGGCTACCCCGAGGCCCTCACTGATCCCTCCTACAAGGCACAGATCTTAGTGCTCACCTATCCTCTGATCGGCAACTATGGCATCCCCCCAGATGAAATGGATGAGTTCGGTCTCTGCAAGGTAGCCACACCCAGTGCTTTCTCTACATTCCTTTTCAAGTCAGTAATTGTTAACTATTAGTGAAGTAGGAGACGTTGACACCCTGCTGGGCATCCTGCAGAAAACATACCCACTGAAGTAGTAAAGTCAAGGACTAAGATCACTAGTAACTGTAGTTAGGGGTTGTTAAGTGCCTTGGGAGGCACAGAGTGTTGGAGGCCTCAGGAAAAAGCTACCGCCTTTGTTAAGGGCATCAAGGCTCCAGGTATAGCTGAAAGCATTCTGTATGTAGTGAAGGCATGGATCAAGGAAAAGTAAAAGAGGTGTAAGGGAACAGCCTTGTCCAACTTGTTAGGCATGCAGAAGTCAGGAGAAAAAAGCCTGCAGATAAGTTAAATCCGGTGGGCATGGAGGGACCTGAAGCCAAAGCAGAGTCAGCTTAGTTTGGTAAAGGATCCATTGAAGGTTTTTTTTTAGCAGCAGAGTCAGATGGGAGCAGTGCTTTTTAGGACTACATAAATTAGTGGAAAGAGACTGGAAACTAGGGTCACATACTTCTCTGTGACAGTGAGTGCCAGTTTACCTACAAAACCAGTGACATTATCTTCTAGACCTACTGACATGGCCTCGTCTGATTCTCTGCTTTTCAGTTGTGTTCTTACCTCTAGGTGAGAAAACTGAGTTTCTTCCTACAGTGAGGTTTCCCCTATTCCTTCACCTCTGAAATTTGGAAACTAAGTTGCCCTCTGACAGTTCAAGCATTAAAAAAAACCCAACATATAGTAATTAAGGTAATAGAGGAAGTCAATCTGGCCTAGAGTAGTATCTCTCAAAATTTGTTTGGCCTCACTGCAGGTGTAAGCCTTTAATTCTTAATTTGCCTTCCCAGCCACCCTGACGCTGGGGAGAGTGAGCTCCGGATAAAGGACGTACATGTTGTTCTTCCTGGAAAAGAATTTCTAGGTTCATCACAAACCTACAAATACACTGCATTCTAGTTGATAGTGAATTCTTGTGAATTTGGTTAACCTTTGTCAGTCATCACCTTTGTCAACTCTAGACACACTGACTAAATTGAGTTTATAAAACTACAAAATTGAGGCCTGATTAGGATCAGGGTGGGAAAGGCCTCTTGGAGCCACTCGCACATATAAATGGATTACTCCACCTGGCCAGGGAGGGTTCTGCCAAACTATCCTTCAGATCCCTGGACAGTCTCAGAATGCAGGTTCCTTAAACTGTTCATCACCCAGCTGAATGCAGTTTAAATATGCTGATCCCTCCCACATAAACTTTCTGTTTCTATGTAGCTATTAAACGCTTATCTATTGAGTAACAAGTTTATGGTTTTTGTTTTTTTTTTGGGGACAAGGTCTCACTTTGTCACCCAGGCTGGAGTGCAGTGGCATAATCATGGCTCACTTGCAGCCTCTGCCACCTGAGCTCAAGTAGTCCTCCCACCTCAACCCCCCAAGTAGCTGGGACTACAGGCACCTGCCGCCATGCCTGGCTACTTTTTTTGTATTTTTTGTAGAGACCGGGTATTGTCACATTGCCCAGGCTTGTATGTTATCTTTTTTTATTTAATTTTTTTTTATTTTTATTTTGCTTTGAGGTAGAGTTTCTTTCTTGTTGCTCAGGTTGGAGTGCAATGGGCAACCTTGGCTCACTGCAACCTCCGCCTCCCGGGTTCAAGCTATTCTCCCACCTCAGCCTCCCGAGTAGCTGGGATTACAGGCATGGGCTACCATTCCCAGCTAATTTTGTATTTTTAGTAGAGACAGGGTTTCTCCATGTTGGTCAGGCTGGTTTTGAACTCCCGATCACAGGTGATCTGCCCACCTCGGCCTCCCAAAGCGCTGGGATTACAGGCGTGAGCCACCGCGCCTGGCCTTTTCTTTTTTAAATAATCCCAAATGAAGTTTGGGAGGCATGCTTAGTATTGTGCCCTGAACCTTTGTTTTTTATTTGGTAATGGGGTATTTTGTACCTCCCTATCTTACTCAGTTTTTAATCACACTCTATAATTAATATTTATATGGGTGTTACCTTGTTTTCTAGCTCCCTAAGTCAGAAATAAACATCATGAAGACAGGAACCTCATCTTTTTTTGCTCATTGCTCTTTTCTCAGCATCTTTTGCAATGCCTGCACCTCAATAAATGTCTGACTGACACCATGTGCCTTGCTCTTGAGTTCTCTGTTTCGTGACAAAGACACAAATACATATTCATCATATGACGTAAATAGCAAGAGAGGAAATAAAGTATTAAAACAGCTCTAAGATGGAGGCACAAGCTGTATTGGGTGAGTGGGAGGGGCTTCACAGAGAAAGGATTTGTGATTTCAGTTTTAGATAAAGGAAGAAAGAGGCGGGGCGCGGTAGCTCATGACTTGTAATCCCAGCACTTTGGAAGGCTGAGGTGGGGGGATCGCTTGAGCCCAGGAAGTTTGAGAGCAGCCTGGCAACATGGTGAGACGCTGTCACTACAAAAAATTCAAAAAATTAGCCAGGTGTGATGATCCACACCTGTGGTCCCAACTACTCAGGAGTCTGAGGTGGGAGAATCACTTGAGCCCAGGAGATTGAGGCTGTAGTGAACCGTGTATTTGTGCCACTGTACTCTGCACTCCAGCCTGGATAACAGCAAGACCCTGTCTCAAAAAAAAAAAAAAGGAATGGCTAGGTGCGATGGCTCACTCCTGTAATCCCAGCACTTTGGGAGGCTGAGGTGGGCAGATCACAAGGTCAGGAGATCTGAGACCATCCTGGCTAACATGGTGAAACCCCGTCTCTACTAAAAATACAAAAAATTAGCCGGGTGTGGTGGCGGGCGCCTGTAGTCCCAGCTACTCGGGAGGCTAAAGCAAGAGAATTGCTTGAATCCGGGAGGCAGAGGTTGCAGTGAGCTTAGATGTCGCCACTGCATTGCAGCCTGGGTGACAGAGTGAGACTCTGTCTCAAAAAAAATAAATAATAAATAAATAAAAAGGAAAATGTCATTTTCAGTGATCATCGGGGCACCCTGGGCCTGTGGGTTGTGTTTCGTATAGGAGAGAGCGTTGTTGGTAAATGGAAATACCTATGCAAAAGCACCAAAAGTTTGGTATATTGAAGGCCATTCAATGTGGCTGAATATAGGGTCTGTGGCCACACAATCGGGAAAATGCTGCAAAGAAATAACTTGGCCTGAGGCTTCTCACAATCTCTTTCCATCTACAGTGGTTTGAATCCTCGGGCATCCACGTAGCAGCACTGGTAGTGGGAGAGTGCTGTCCTACTCCCAGCCACTGGAGTGCCACCCGCACCCTGCATGAGTGGCTGCAGCAGCATGGCATCCCTGGCTTGCAAGGTATGGTGGCAAGCAGGGGCATATTTGGGCAGAGCACAGCATGCCTGGATGGAAAGAATCAAGGTTTCTGTAATCTGCTGGGACCTGACTCTAAGATTGTGATAGTTGGAAGGTTTAGATTGGAGTTGGGCTGGGAGAAAGAATTGAACTATCACTCAGAAAGAAAATTTCCAACACAGGAAGGAACTCCCACCTTCCATAATCATCAGCTTAGGGCTAATCTTATTTCATCACCACCACTGGATTATTTTGATGCAAATCTCAGACATCATATCATTTCATCTACAAATAGTTCAATATCTATGCAAAAGGAATCTTTAAAAAACATGATCATAATAACGTCATACACTAAAAAAATTAATAATTCCCTAATACAAGTGTCCAGGCAATGTTTAAAATTTCCCAATTTTTTTTTTTTTTTTTTTTTTTTTTTCTGTTCATTTGAATCTTGCTCTAAACAGGGTTCACACATTGCATTTGGTTGATAAGTCTCTTAATCTGTGGACCTTGTAACCTATTTGAAAACAGGTCATTTTTCCTGTATCTAGTATCCCATAGTCTGCACTTACTTGGTTACACTCCTGTAGTGTTACTTAGCGTATTCTTTTTTTCCCTTTATATTATTTTCTATAAATGGATAGATTTAGAGTTGTTCAATTCAGATGTGATATTTTTGGCAGGAATACTTCATGGTAGTATACTTCTGTCACAATGGCCCAGGATTTTGATGCACATAGAACAGCTGTGTGTGACTGGGGCTCTGGAATGGAAGTGCTTCTGGAAGTCTAACCTCACAGATGACTGAGTTGTAGGAATGTGATCCCTAAGACTGTGCTATTTTGACAGGAGTAGACACTCGGGAGCTGACCAAGAAGTTGCGGGAACAGGGGTCTCTGCTGGGGAAGCTGGTCCAGAATGGAACAGAACCTTCATCCCTGCCATTCTTGGACCCCAATGCCCGCCCCCTGGTACCAGAGGTCTCCATTAAGGTACAGAGGTAGAGTGGGAGAGTGTTGCAAGCTCTAGCACAGTAGTTATATTCTGCCCACAATTGGGGGGTGAACACAGGAGAGAATCAAAGGAGGCTTTGAAGGTAGGAGTTGGTGCAGGCATATCTTATACCCACTGAGCACAGCTGCCAACTGTTGCCCTTTATTCGTCTATTTCTCAGACTCCACGGGTATTCAATACAGGGGGTGCCCCTCGGATCCTTGCTTTGGACTGTGGCCTCAAGTATAATCAGATCCGATGCCTCTGCCAGCGTGGGGCTGAGGTCACTGTGGTACCCTGGGACCATGCACTAGACAGCCAAGGTGAGTAGCTGGGGCCTGTTCAGGGCCTCAGACAAGCAGCTTGGGTGGAAGATCTATCCCTTGGTCCAATTGCTAAAAGTCAGTAGGAGTTGCAGTGAAGAAGATAGACATTGGGACTTAACACTCTCATGGGCTGGGGGGGCTGCAGGTGTGTCTCCTGTAATTGAAATACTGATTTTGATGTCATCTTTTCTGCCCACTCCAGAGTATGAGGGTCTCTTCTTAAGTAATGGGCCTGGTGACCCTGCCTCCTATCCCAGTGTCGTATCCACACTGAGCCGTGTTTTATCTGAGCCTAATCCCCGACCTGTCTTTGGGATCTGCCTGGGACACCAGCTATTGGCCTTAGCCATTGGGGCCAAGACTTACAAGATGAGGTGGGACTTGTGGGGAGCAGAAGGGGCCCATACTTGTGGCATGAGGGGTGGGGTGTCTCAGGAATGAGAAGAGAGTTGGTGTTTATTCGTGTTGAAATAGGAGCGGGGGGGTTGCAGGTGAGGTGGCTCCCACCTGTAATCCCAGCACTTTGGGAGGCCAAGGTGGGCGGATCACTGGAGGTCAGGAGTTCGAGACCAGCCTGGCCAACATGGTGAAACTCTGTCTCTACTAAAAATACAAAAGTTGGCCAGCCATGGTGGCGTGCGCCTGTAATCCCAGCTACTCCAGAGGCTGAGGCAGGAGAATCGCTTGAACCTGGGAGGTGGAGGTTGCAGTGAGCGGAGATCGTGCCATTGCCCTCCAGCCCGGGAAACAGAGGGAGACTCCGTCTCAAAAAAAAAAAAAAAACAAAAAGGAAACAGGAGTGAGGCTACTGAGAACAGGAGATCGGTGAGAGCTGGGGTAGGTTCAGTAGTGAAGAGAGGGTGAGCAGGGCCTGTGACTCGGCATGCTTCTACCTCCAGATATGGGAACCGAGGCCATAACCAGCCCTGCTTGTTGGTGGGCTCTGGGCGCTGCTTTCTGACATCCCAGAACCATGGGTTTGCTGTGGAGACAGACTCACTGCCAGCAGACTGGGCTCCTCTCTTCACCAACGCCAATGATGGTTCCAATGAAGGCATTGTGCACAACAGCTTGCCTTTCTTCAGGTGAGCCTGGTTGACTGGGTCTGTGAAAATTTGAAGCCCTGTGGGCCTTGATGATGGAAAAGTAAAGCACGGCAGTGGATCCGAGTCCCCTGTCCCACTACCCACCTCGAGGCTGCCAGTGTCATGCCAGGGACCATGATGGTTTTCATGATGCAATCTCTTCAATAGTGTCCAGTTTCACCCAGAGCACCAAGCTGGCCCTTCAGATATGGAACTGCTTTTCGATATCTTTCTGGAAACTGTGAAAGAGGCCACAGCTGGGAACCCTGGGGGCCAGACAGGTAAGATCCTGAGTAGAACTGGGTTGTGGACCTAAGAACAGGGTTGGCTCCAGGATGGGCATAAGGTGGACATGCCCTGGGCAACTCCTAGATGTCTAGGAGGTTAAGGGTATTGGGGATGGGTGGCAACCAACCCAAGATACCGTTTAAGCTTCTGTTGAAAGGAACTCCAGGGTCCTGGGTTCTGGTCCTCCCTCTGCTCCTCCTGAGGTGCATAATTTGCTCTGGACTCTTCTGAAAGCGAGGGAGCTAATCCAGTTGACCTCTTGGGTCCAGCTCAGCTCTAACATTCTACGACCTTCTTTGCTTCCACAGTTAGAGAGCGGCTGACTGAGCGCCTCTGTCCCCCTGGGATTCCCACTCCCGGCTCTGGACTTCCACCACCACGAAAGGTTCTGATCCTGGGCTCAGGGGGCCTCTCCATTGGCCAAGCTGGAGAATTTGACTACTCGGGCTCTCAGGTGAGGCATGTTCCTCCCCACCCTTCTGGGCGTGTGACCCTCAAGAATGGAAAGGGTCTTAAGGAGAAGGGCTAAGGTTGCAGGGAGGAAATGAACCAGATTTGGGGAATGTAGAGAAAGATGTAGTAAGAAATAGAAGTCAATTATTAGGGGCCAAGAGTACAGGGAGGGAAAGAAGAGGAGAATGCTACTCTAAGGCTGTTTGCAATTTTGCTTCTTCAGCAGAGGCTGAGATGCCATTCTTGTCCTTTTAGGCAATTAAGGCCCTGAAGGAGGAAAACATCCAGACGTTGCTGATCAACCCCAATATTGCCACAGTGCAGACCTCCCAGGGGCTGGCCGACAAGGTCTATTTTCTTCCCATAACACCTCATTATGTAACCCAGGTATGACTGGGGCAAGGCTGGAATGAAAAGAGGACTGGGCAGGGGGGCCCAGTGGTCACTGTGGGTTATTAAACTTTGATTGCCTCTCTACCCACAAGGTTCTGATGCCTGTAACTCCCCTCTCCATCCTCAGGTGATACGTAATGAACGCCCCGATGGTGTGTTACTGACTTTTGGGGGCCAGACTGCTCTGAACTGTGGTGTGGAGCTGACCAAGGCCGGGGTGCTGGCTCGGTATGGGGTCCGGGTCCTGGGCACACCAGTGGAGACCATTGAGCTGACCGAGGATCGACGGGCCTTTGCTGCCAGAATGGCAGAGATCGGAGAGCATGTGGCCCCGAGCGAGGCAGCAAATTCTCTTGAACAGGTTGGAGGGGTGTTTGGGTAAAGGAAGAATGGTGGTGTTTTTTTTGGTAGTGTTATTTTCTTTTTTTTTTTTTTTTTTTTGAGACGGAGTTTCGCTCTTGTTGCGCAGGCTGGAGTACAGTGGCGTGATCTCGGCTCATCATAACCTCCACCTCCCAGATTCAAGCGACTCTCCTGCCTCAGCTTCCTGAGTAGCTGGGATTACTGGCATGCGCCACCATGCCCAGCTAATTTTGTATTTTTAGTAGAGACGGGGTTTCTCCATGTTGGTCAGGCTGATCTCGAACTCCTGACCTCAGGTGATCCACCCCCCCGACCCTCGGCCTCCCAAATTGCTGGGGTTACAGGCGTGAGCCACTATGCCCAGCCATGTTATTTTCTTTATATCTTTTTTTATGTGGGACAGGCACACCTTGGACAGTAGGAAATAACCTGTTTGTTCATCTCTTCCACTCATTGCAGGCCCAGGCAGCCGCTGAACGGCTGGGGTACCCTGTGCTAGTGCGTGCAGCCTTTGCCCTGGGTGGCCTGGGCTCTGGCTTTGCCTCTAACAGGGAGGAGCTCTCTGCTCTCGTGGCCCCAGCTTTTGCCCATACCAGCCAAGTGCTAGTAGACAAGTCTCTGAAGGGATGGAAGGAGATTGAGTACGAGGTGGTGAGAGACGCCTATGGCAACTGTGTCACGGTGAGTGAATGGGGGAAGGGTGGGCGTCGTGTCAGGCAGGATGAGCTTTTGGAAGAGCAGAGGCCCAGGCCAAGGTCTTTGAGAGTTGTATGTCCCTCAGACCCAGGTTAGGTGCAGCCCCAGAGGTAACAGGACCCTGGGGTGCAGCCTTCTGCCTCTCCTGACTCTGCTTGGCAGTGACCTCCATGGCACCCCCCTTCACAGGTGTGTAACATGGAGAACTTGGACCCACTGGGCATCCACACTGGTGAGTCCATAGTGGTGGCCCCTAGCCAGACACTGAATGACAGGGAGTATCAGCTCCTGAGGCAGACAGCTATCAAGGTGACCCAGCACCTGGGAATTGTTGGGGAGTGCAATGTGCAGTATGCCTTGAACCCTGAGTCTGAGCAGGTAAGCTCTAGGCCCTGGAACTGATAGTCTAGTTGTTACCCCCTCTTCTTGTATAATTTTTGGCCCTTGAGGTTGAGGTCTTTTGGGCTTACAGTCCCTGGAGTACAAGCTGGAATCTTCTTTACTAGGTTACTTTTCTCTCCTTTCTGAGACCTCTCCTAGACAGGGTCTTCTAGGCCAGTGACTTTATTCTCCTTCTTTGCAGTATTACATCATTGAAGTGAATGCCAGGCTCTCTCGCAGCTCTGCCCTGGCCAGTAAGGCCACAGGTTATCCACTGGCTTATGTGGCAGCCAAGCTAGCATTGGGCATCCCTTTGCCTGAGCTCAGGTACGAGGATGAGGGAGATATCACAGTGGGGAAGTGGGTCGGGGGCTGAGGAAAATATTGATGGGACAGGGAATATGAAAAGGACATTGGCCTGGATTTGTGGGAATGGAAAGAGCTATCCGGAAGCTCACCCTTTATGCTTCCTTCACTGTCCTTCTGGCATCCCACCTGCTGGACCCCAGGAACTCTGTGACAGGGGGTACAGCAGCCTTTGAACCCAGCGTGGATTATTGTGTGGTGAAGATTCCTCGATGGGACCTTAGCAAGTTCCTGCGAGTCAGCACAAAGATTGGGAGCTGCATGAAGAGCGTTGGTGAGACTCATGCCCTGGGCACCCCCATGGGGCCCCACCATGACCAAGAATCTTAAATGTCAAGAGTTCCCTGGCATGGCCTTTTACGTCCTATGGGAGCAGGTGCTTGAGACATTTCAAACTAAGATTATAGTCCTTGTCAGGAGTTGGGGAGGCATCTGGAAATCTGTGTTGGAATACAGAATCTCTGGGATAGGTGCAAGCCATCAGACTATCTCATCTCATTTTTGCAGTATCTCCTCCTCTGGCACTTTGTGCTTTGGTCACTAAATGACCTTTTTTTTTAGTATGATGTTTACATCAGAGCAGGGCATCATAAACCTTTTTGGTAACAAGGAAATTTATTAGTGAATGATGAATGGCCGTAACGTTACCCAGCAGTGGCAGAGCATGTTAGAATTGAGTTAGTATGTTTCTTTGTGGTATCCCTTTAGTTGCCGAAGACCGTCCTCTAACACATTTCAACCAAAACAAAAATATACGTGTACCAGACACAGCGCCACCAGCCTGATGGATAAGAGCATTTTGTGGTGCTCCAGATTTCCATTTAGAGCAGTAGTGGCCTTTAAACAAGTAAGTCTAAGCTCAGATATTATTTCAGAATTTTTAGAAATTCTGCAAGACTGCCAATTTTTTCCTTCTGGAGATGAATCTCTGTTATATGAAAATTAGAATAAACATGGGAATGAAGCCATAATTAAATTGTGGCAAAAAGAAGTGGATTGAAAATAGGCCAATGAAAGATTGGTTCCTAGATGAGACATTTAATTGTTTTACATCTGTTCAAGTATTCTTGGAATGTGGTCTTCTTTGGTAACTTTTTGTAACTTTTATTATACAAGTAAGAAACATGAATCATGGAAAACGAGGAAAGATAGTTTAACCAAAGAACAGTAGTCACCTGTAATCTTGCCTTACAGAGATTGATTAATTCGACCGTGTATCTGCGACTGCATAATTCAGCCGTGTATCTACGACTGCATACATTTCTAGGCATATGTGTATGCATGTATTAGGCTTCTCCTTTTTTAACAAATCTCAAAATAAAAAGTCTTACAACCACAGTTACAAAGAAATTGAACAAAATCAGTCACACTACTGTTAACATCGTAGTGTTTTTAAAACTTTTTTAAAGAAATGTAAATGTTAGGATTGTAAATAGAAAAATACACTTGGTAAGAAATACTTAAGCCCCTAGAGTAAATAGTCAGAGGAGATGAACAACACTTTACAGAAGAAGAAATCAATAAGCAAACCTAGAGAAAAGACGGTTCCTCTCATTAGTAAATAGAAATCTAGTTAAATGAGACTCTGTTTATGCCCACTTCTTAGAAGGTTGCTTAAACTTTGTATTATGAAGCACAGACTTCTATAAAGTTATTCGTACTCATCAAGGGCTATAAAATTTGTGTTACCTATTGCCTCTACATATCTGGAAATTTATCCTAAGGAGATTATCCAAAACAGAAAACATCATATCCAGTCCAGGCACGGTGGTTGTAATTAATCCCAGCACTTTGGAAAGCTCAGGTGGGAGGATCGCTTGAGCCCACGAGTTCAAGGTTGCAGTGAGCTGTGATTGTACCACTGCATTCCAGTCTGGGTGCCAGGCTAAGACCCTGTCTTTTTTGTTTGTTTGTTTGTTTGAGACGGATTTTCATTCTTGTTGCCCAGGCTGGAGTGCAATGGTGTGATCTCGGCTCACCACAATCTCTGCCTCCTGGGTTCAAGTGATTCTCCTGTCTCAGCCTCCAGAGTAACTGGGATTACAGGCATGTGCCATCACGCCTGGCTAATTTTGTATTTTAATAGAGACAGGGTTTCTCCCTGTTGGTCAGGCTGGTCTTGAACGCCCGTGCTCAGGTGATCCACCCACCTTTGGCCTCCCAAAGTGCTGGGATTACAGGCCACTGTGCCTGGCCGAGACCCTGTCTCTTTTTTCTTTTCTTTTTTTTTTTTCTTTTTTTTTTTTTTTGAGGCAGAGTCTTCCTCTGTCGCCAGGCTGGAGTGCAGTGGTGCTATCTCGGCTCACTGCAACCTCTGCCTCCCAGGTTCAAGCGATTCACCTGCCTCAGCCTCCTGAGTAGCTGGGACTACAGGCGCGCACAACCACGCCCAGCTAATTTTTGTATTTTTAGTAGAGACGGGGGTTTCATCATACTGCTTAGGATGGTCTCGATCTCTTAACCTCGTGATCCGCCTGCCTCGGCCTCCCAAAGTGCTGGGATTACAGGCATGAGTCACCATGCCCGGCCGACCCTGTCTCGTTAAAAAAGAAAGAAAACATCACAGCCTAACTTATAATTATGAAAACTTTTTTTTTTAATACGGAGTTTTATTCTGTCACCCAGGGTGGAGTGCAATGGTGTGACTTAGCTCACTGCAGCTTGGATCTTCTAGGCTTAAGTAATCTCCCACCCCATCCTTCTGAGGAGTGAGACTACAGGTGTACACCACCACACCTTGCTAATTTTTTTTTTTAATTATTATTTGTAGAGAGGGAGGTCTCACTATGTTGTGCCGGCTGGTCTCAATCTGCCTTAGGTGATCCTTCTGCCTCAGCCTTCCAAAGTGTTGGATTACAGGTGAGAGCCACCAGGACTGCCTAATTGTAAACACTTAAAAGCGAAATGGGCCGGGCGCGGTGGCTCATGCCTGTAATCCCAGCACATTGGGAGGGTGAGGTGGGCATATCATGAGGTCAGGAGTTTGAGACTAGCCTGGCCAATATGGTGAAACCCCATCTCTAGAAAATATACAAAAATTAGCTAGGCATGGTGGCACGCACCTGTAGTCCCAGCTACTCAGGAGGCTGAGGCAGGAGAATCGCTTGACCTCAGGAAGCAGAGGTTGCAGTGAGCTGAGATTGCACCACTGACTCCAGCCTGGGCAACACAGTGAGACTACGTCTCAGAAAAAAAAAAAAAAAAAAAGCTAAATGTCCTTCAGTTAGTAGTTAAATTATGGCAGATCATACAAGAATTAAGTTAGTTGGTTGGGCGCAGTGGCACACGCCTGTAATCCCAGCACTTTGGGAGGCCGAGGCAGGTGGATCACCTGAGGTTGGGAGTTCGAGACCAGCCTGGCCAACATGGTGAAACCCCGTCTCTACTAAAAATACAAAAATTACCCAGGCATGGTGGCAGGTGCCTGTAATCCCAGCTACTTGGGAGGCTGAGGCAGGAGAATCACTTGAACCCAGGAGGCACAGGTTACACTGAGCTGAGATCATGCCATTGCAGTCCAGCGTGGGTGATGAGAGAAACTCCGTCTCAAGAAAGAATTAAGTTGGTGTTGATGAGGCCATGTGGCAATGTGGGAAAATGTATGATGAGGAAAAAACACAGGATGGAAATTATATGTATGCTGTGATGATATGTAAAACATACCTATGAAGGGCCCGGCACGGTGGCTCACGCCTGTAACCCCAGCACTTTGGGAGGCCGAGGCGGGTGGATCACGGGGTCAGGAGTTTGAGACCAGCTTGGCCAACATGGTGAAATCCCGTCTCTAATTAGCCAGACATGGTGACACGCACCTGTAATCACAGCTACTCAGGAGGCTGAGGCAGGAGAATCTCTTGAACCCAGGAAGCAGAGGTTGCAGTGAGTCGAGACCGTGCCATTGCATTCCAGCCTGGGCAACAAGAGCGAAAGTCCATCTAAAAAAAAAAAACCTATGAACCTATGAAGAAAAGTCCAGAAAGAGAAACTCTAAAATGATTGTTGTAAATGTGATTTGCTCTGCATGGATGAGTAGTAAGGATCATCTTCCTATTATCTACACTTTTTTAAAAAGTTTTAAAGAATTCCAGTTGGTGTTATGATTATGTGAATAAATCAAACCCAATAACTGGACAGCCATCAGTGGTTTGGGCCACTGTGATAAACTTCCAGTATCCAGTGTATGGGGATATATTCCAGTATCCCCATGCCCGTTTTAGGCATATTGATTCCATATTCATCAATAAGCACAAAGCCTGAGCTTATCCATGAAAATAGCAGGGAAAAGAGCTATAAGTTAAGATTTCTTTTTGTTTGTTTGTTTGTTTTGTTTTGTTTGAGACGGAGTCTCGCTTTGTTCCCCGGGCTGGAGTGCAATGGTGTGATCGCTGCTCACTGCAAGCTCCACCTCCCGGGTTCACGCCATTTTCCTGCCTCAGCCTCTGGAGTAGCTGGGGCTACAGGCGCCCGCCACCACTCCCGGCTAATTTTTTTGTATTTTTAGTAGAGACGGGGTTTCACCATGTTAGCCAGGATGGTCTCGATCTCCTGACCTCGTGATCCTTCCGCCTCAGCCTCCCAAAGTGCTGGGATTACAGGCGTGAGCCACTGCGCCCGGCCATTAAGATTTCTTAGTTGTGAAACACCATGAATCCCACCATCATGTGACTTGCCTTGAGAATCTCCCAGAGTCTTGACTATAAACCATAAGCATTATGGGCAGTGCCTTCTTCCCACCCCTTCCACCTCCACACCTTCATTCCTTCCATTCTGTTCTTCCAGGTGAAGTCATGGGCATTGGGCGTTCATTTGAGGAGGCCTTCCAGAAGGCCCTGCGCATGGTGGATGAGAACTGTGTGGGCTTTGATCACACAGTGAAACCAGTCAGCGATATGGTAAGTAGCTCCCCTCCCCTGGCAATACCCCTAAAATAGACCCTGCTTCTCATCGCCCCCAGACCATGAGCTTGTTACCAGTAACACTAGCAGCAGTCATCATTGGACATTTGCTTTGTTTCCACTTTGCTGAGAATTTTGAGATGTCTCATTAGCACGCAAGGGTGTATTACTAGACTTGTTTTTACAGATGAGGAAACTGAGACATAGGTTATAGAAATTACTCAAAGCCACATAGCCAATGAGAGGTAGACCCAGGATTGGTATCCAGGTTTTTGCAGTTACACAGCCTGTGCTCTGGTGTACAGTTTCCCCTTCCTGAGACAAGAGCAGCTACTTACGCTCAGGCTTTTAGATGGGCTGGCAGTAGCTTCCGTCTGTCTACCCCCTTTCTATCAGGAGTTGGAGACTCCAACAGATAAGCGGATTTTTGTGGTGGCAGCTGCTTTGTGGGCTGGTTATTCAGTGGACCGCCTGTATGAGCTCACACGCATCGACCGCTGGTTCCTGCACCGAATGAAGCGTATCATCGCACATGCCCAGCTGCTAGAACAACACCGTGGACAGCCTTTGCCGCCAGACCTGCTGCAACAGGCCAAGTGTCTTGGCTTCTCAGACAAACAGATTGCCCTTGCAGTTCTGAGGTCAGAGGTGGCAATGAGAGCTTCCGGCTGGGAAATGTGGGGCAGAACCTTTGTATCAGTGAGGGACCCTTGGGAGGGAGGAAGGAGAGTGTGGGAGAGCTTTAGAGGCTTCTGACCTTGGTTCCAAGGATATTTCCTCTCATCTGTGCCCTGGGGTCTCAA
This sequence comes from Homo sapiens, assembly GCF_000001405.40. Taxonomy (NCBI): domain Eukaryota; kingdom Metazoa; phylum Chordata; class Mammalia; order Primates; family Hominidae; genus Homo; species Homo sapiens. Next base: position 27,232,387 of record NC_000002.12, read on the forward strand.
CCCTCTATCAGTCTGTACCCTACTCTCTGGGCCTGTGTTTCAGACCCTTTTTCTATTTTAGCACAGAGCTGGCTGTTCGCAAGCTGCGTCAGGAACTGGGGATCTGTCCAGCAGTGAAACAGATTGACACAGTTGCAGCTGAGTGGCCAGCCCAGACAAATTACCTATACCTAACGTATTGGGGCACCACCCATGACCTCACCTTTCGAACACCTCATGTCCTAGTCCTTGGCTCTGGCGTCTACCGTATTGGCTCTAGCGTTGAATTTGACTGGTGTGCTGTAGGCTGCATCCAGCAGCTCCGAAAGGTCAGAGAGTTCATTTTCTTTCCACTTTCCTTGCTATTCTGTTCATCTCTAGCAATTGCTTGGCACTAATCCTGGCATTTCCTATTAATTGCCGTCCCTTACTTTGGTCATAGAGCTTTGGGGTGGGGGTCCTTTTAGGCCATCTCTCATGCCCCACACGGTATATGAATCTCTTCCCCAACACTTTGTACCTCCTTCCCTCCCAAGGCAGGGGTCCTGTACAGCTCTTTCAGAGGAAGCTGTGCTGGCAGTCTCTGAAGTAGGGGCTTTGGCTTAGTTTCTCCACGATTTTCTCCACGATTTTCCTCCCACCTGACTGCTAAGTACCCTTCCCCTCCCTCTTGCAGATGGGATATAAGACCATCATGGTGAACTATAACCCAGAGACAGTCAGCACCGACTATGACATGTGTGATCGACTCTACTTTGATGAGATCTCTTTTGAGGTGAGGGAGATGGAGGCTTCCTGGTAGCTTGAGTGGCCAGGGTCGAGTAGAACAGCTGGCTGACCTAAGATTCTTTGAAACTTGGTGGCGGCTGAGGGAAGCAGTGAGCAGGAAGGCTCAGATTCCTGCCCTCTTTTGCTGCCACCACTTGTTTCTCCCCCTGCAACGTAGGTGGTGATGGACATCTATGAGCTCGAGAACCCTGAAGGTGTGATCCTATCCATGGGTGGACAGCTGCCCAACAACATGGCCATGGCGTTGCATCGGCAGCAGTGCCGGGTGCTGGGCACCTCCCCTGAAGCCATTGACTCGGCTGAGAACCGTTTCAAGTTTTCCCGGCTCCTTGACACCATTGGTATCAGCCAGCCTCAGTGGAGGGAGCTCAGTGACCTCGAGGTGGGCTGGGACCTGGTGGGTTACCCGGAGGCTGGATGATGCTTGGGGGAAAGTGTGAACAACTCAGCTAAGCTCCCTGCCTCCTGTAGTCTGCTCGCCAATTCTGCCAGACCGTGGGGTACCCCTGTGTGGTGCGCCCCTCCTATGTGCTGAGCGGTGCTGCTATGAATGTGGCCTACACGGATGGAGACCTGGAGCGCTTCCTGAGCAGCGCAGCAGCCGTCTCCAAAGAGCATCCCGTGGTCATCTCCAAGTTCATCCAGGAGGCTAAGGTGGGAGGCTGCAGACAGTGAAGTCTCTGAGGGCATGCTGCCAGCCCTGGAGGAGACTTCCTTCTCTGGTCCAGCAGAATCATAGGCACCAGGGCTGGGAACAGTGGGCTATGTGGGGCTCGTTAAAGGAAGAGACAATCCTAGAGTAAGTGAGAGAAGAAAGTGGCCCTATGTCCCACTGTCTGTGTCCCCCCGCTAGGAGATTGACGTGGATGCCGTGGCCTCTGATGGTGTGGTGGCAGCCATCGCCATCTCTGAGCATGTGGAGAATGCAGGTGTGCATTCAGGTGATGCGACGCTGGTGACCCCCCCACAAGATATCACTGCCAAAACCCTGGAGCGGATCAAAGCCATTGTGCATGCTGTGGGCCAGGAGCTACAGGTCACAGGACCCTTCAATCTGCAGCTCATTGCCAAGGTAATAAGGCTAAAGGAAAGAACTAAAGGGCCACAGCTCTTGCATGTTCTGTGCTGGCCACAGTGCCATGAAGCCCTGCACTGTCTCCTGCCTTCATCCAAGTAGGCAGGGAAGCTGGAGGGAAAGGGCTGTAGCTAGAGCTCATGGTGTTGGGGCTTATGACAGTCAGTGACCCTGAACCCTGCTCAGTCTGATCCCCCAGAGCTGAGGACGGAGAGGAAGAGTCTAGGCCTATAGATAGTGTCAGCAAGGCCAACCTGCAGAAGGCCTGACCAGTCTTCTCTGCCCCAGGATGACCAGCTGAAAGTTATTGAATGCAACGTACGTGTCTCTCGCTCCTTCCCCTTCGTTTCCAAGACACTGGGTGTGGACCTAGTAGCCTTGGCCACGCGGGTCATCATGGGGGAAGAAGTGGAACCTGTGGGGCTAATGACTGGTTCTGGAGTCGTGGGAGTAAAGGTAAGGAATATCGAAACCCTTGGGGTTAGCAGAAAAATAGCGGGAGAGAGTTCACTCACCACACAGAGTTGTCAGTATGTAAACCAGGCACTGACTGCAAGGCATTGCCGGATCGTGGGGGTAATGAGGTGGTCATTGTCCCTTAAGAGCTTACTTTATGGTAATGGGAGGGAAGAGAAGTTGGATCCCCAAAAAAGCTTTGGTATAGAACAGTCCGTGGTAAAACTACATATTCGACCTGTAAACAGAATGCTGCAGGAGTTCAAGAGACAGGAGGTGCTGCTTCCAAAAGGGGTGATCTGGGAAGGCTTGAGCGAAGGGGTGCTATTTGAATTGAGTTTTGAAGGATGGTTAAGGTTTTTTATTTGCAAGGGCACATCCTAAGCAGAAGCTGAGGGATGACCCCAAGTACGTTTGGAAAGCAGGAGGGCACACAGAGAGGGCAGGCTGACCCTGCCATTCAGATGGGATCAAGCACAGGGTACTGTGTCCGTCTCTGCTGGTGAGGGAGGAGGTCCTCTCACACCTTGGCCCTCTCTCTTCCCTCCCGCCCCTTTAGGTGCCTCAGTTCTCCTTCTCCCGCTTGGCGGGTGCTGACGTGGTGTTGGGTGTGGAAATGACCAGTACTGGGGAGGTGGCCGGCTTTGGGGAGAGCCGCTGTGAGGCATACCTCAAGGCCATGCTAAGCACTGGCTTTAAGATCCCCAAGAAGAATATCCTGCTGACCATTGGCAGCTATAAGGTATCAGAATCCAGGAGGGCTTCCCGAGGGCCGTGGCTCCCTGGGCCAGGGCTGACCTTGAAATGGAAGACAGGAAGAAAACAATTTCATCCTTCTGTTTGGTTTCAGAACAAAAGCGAGCTGCTCCCAACTGTGCGGCTACTGGAGAGCCTGGGCTACAGCCTCTATGCCAGTCTCGGCACAGCTGACTTCTACACTGAGCATGGCGTCAAGGTGCAGGAACTCTGGCAACCTACCCCACTGCTGCCCTTCCCCAAGGGGGTGAAAATACTGCACCAAAGAATTATCTGGGCTGGGCACGGTGGCATATACCTGTAGTCCCAGATACTCAGGAGGCTAAGGCAGGAGAATCTCTTGAGCCCAGGAGGTAGAGGCTGCAGTGAGCTGCGAGTGTGCAGTGAGTGCACCACTGCACTCCAGCTTGGGAAACAGTGAGATGCTGTCTCAAAAAAAAAAAAAACAAAGAATTATCTCCTATTCCCCTGCTTTTATTATTACCATTATACTAGTAAGCTATATTCCATGCAGAAAGCAGAATACACAGGAAGCAAAGAGAAAAGTCTCTTAAAATCTCTGTACCACTGTTCTGATATTTTTCCTTCCAGGATTTTCTCTGTGTACATGTGTGTGAGCTCATACTGCACCTAGTCCTTGGTAACCCATCTTACTTAGTGTAGATATCTTTCCTGCCAAGAAATACACTTTGCCAGTATCAAATAGAGGCAGCCCTCAGTGCCCACCCTATGGGTCCTCAGTCTCCTCATCATGGGCTCCTGGGCCAGCTCCTCTCCCTTAAGGCTAGCCTTCCTGACCGCTGCCAGACAGCTTGGCCCTGACCTTGACTCCGGGTTGGCAGGTAACAGCTGTGGACTGGCACTTTGAGGAGGCTGTGGATGGTGAGTGCCCACCACAGCGGAGCATCCTGGAGCAGCTAGCTGAGAAAAACTTTGAGCTGGTGATTAACCTGTCAATGCGTGGAGCTGGGGGCCGGCGTCTCTCTTCCTTTGTCACCAAGGGCTACCGCACCCGACGCTTGGCCGCTGACTTCTCCGTGCCCCTAATCATCGATATCAAGTGCACCAAACTCTTTGTGGAGGTAACTGAGACCCATGTGCTGGGAGGGAGACTGCCAGTGTTGATGGGAAGAAGAAAGAGGGAGGAGTGAGTATGGAACAGCCATGCTAGTAATAAAGCTTTGTGGCTACAGAGGGAGAGATGGTGGGTATAGAGTGTGCAGAGCCTGGTTTATGGGAAAACCACATCTCTCCCTACAACTCCCAGGATCACCCTTCCCTTAAAGCTGACTGCTTTCCACTTGCAGGCCCTAGGCCAGATCGGGCCAGCCCCTCCTTTGAAGGTGCATGTTGACTGTATGACCTCCCAAAAGCTTGTGCGACTGCCGGGTAAGTCTTTGGGGAGAACTTGGCTTCTGAACACTGGCAGCCCCTGGCATAGAGACCTGCAGTGTGGTGAAGGATGGCTGGGGGGCCCACTCTTTGTCCTGGACTGCACAGACTGTGAAGACCCCAGAATGTTTCTCACTCTTTCATTCCTTAATCCACAGTGTCCACAGTGGCCTTGTCTGAGGAATTTTTTTTTTTTTTTTTTTTTTGAGACAGAGTCTTACTCCATCGCCCAGGTTGGAGTGCAGTGGTGTGTGATATCGGCTCACTGCAACCTCCGCCTCCCAGGTTCAAGCGATTTTCCTGCCTCAGCCTCCCAAGTAGCTGGGATTACAGGTGTGTGCTACCACACCAGGCTAATTTTTGTGTTTTTAGTAGAGACGGGGTTTCACCATGTTGGTCAGGTTGGTCTCGAACTCCTGATCTCAGGTGATCTGCCCACCTCGGCCTCCCAAAGTGCTAGGATTACAGGCGTGAGCCACCATGTCCAGCTCACCCTTCCTATTTCTGAATCTTCCTGTAATCTTGCTGCTTCCATTTTCTCCCAGGATTGATTGATGTCCATGTGCACCTGCGGGAACCAGGTGGGACACATAAGGAGGACTTTGCTTCAGGCACAGCCGCTGCCCTGGCTGGGGGTATCACCATGGTGTGTGCCATGCCTAATACCCGGCCCCCCATCATTGACGCCCCTGCTCTGGCCCTGGCCCAGAAGGTGAGCCACTGCACTCTTCCTGGTATTGGAGACCCATATGCCCCTACCAGCCACCCTTGCTTCCCTGAGCCCTTTTCCTTCTGCCCCGCCCTATGGGCCCAGGCCACTGGTGCCAGGCTAGCCTGTGTGGGCATGGGTGCCAGTGAGCCTTACCTCTGTGTATCCTCTCCAGCTGGCAGAGGCTGGCGCCCGGTGCGACTTTGCGCTATTCCTTGGGGCCTCGTCTGAAAATGCAGGAACCTTGGGCACCGTGGCCGGGTCTGCAGCCGGGCTGAAGCTTTACCTCAATGAGACCTTCTCTGAGCTGCGGCTGGACAGCGTGGTCCAGTGGATGGAGGTAGGGAGTGTGCATGTGGCAGGAGGCCACCACCCAGTGTCTCCTGGCTTGTGGGCCCCTGCCTAAGTGGGCTGGTAGCAGTGAGGATTCAGGGGAGCTCCTGGGGACTCTGGGCTCTGATGAGCACAGTCAGAGATTCTGCACACTCCTTCATCAGTTCTTTCTGCTCCCAGCATTTCGAGACATGGCCCTCCCACCTCCCCATTGTGGCTCACGCAGAGCAGCAAACCGTGGCTGCTGTCCTCATGGTGGCTCAGCTCACTCAGCGCTCAGTGCACATATGTCACGTGGCACGGAAGGAGGAGGTAAGAGTACACCTGAGATCCTGCTGTCCCTGTTGCTTTCCCAGTAACACCAAAGGTCAGGGTAGTCCTTAGGGGCAGGAGACAGCAGGAGGAGAGTCTGGAGACAGCAGGAGGAGGGTCTCGAGCCAGCACCCTTGCAGGTCTACATCATCATTTTTTGAGCAGGGATGTTGGCCATTGGGACTTTGTGTAGGGCAAGGCATATGGGTGGTGCCTCTTCTGGATCTTCCCATTGTTCCCCAGATCCTGCTAATTAAAGCTGCAAAGGCACGGGGCTTGCCAGTGACCTGCGAGGTGGCTCCCCACCACCTGTTCCTAAGCCATGATGACCTGGAGCGCCTGGGGCCTGGGAAGGGGGAGGTCCGGCCTGAGCTTGGCTCCCGCCAGGATGTGGAAGCCCTGTGGGAGAACATGGCTGTCATCGACTGCTTTGCCTCAGACCATGGTGAGAGAATCCAGCATGTACCTCCTCTGCCCAGTGGGGCTTGTGGGACAGCCCTAGCAAGAAAATGGGAAGCAGGCCAGGCCTCAGGACTCTACTAGGACAGGGTCTTGATCCGTATGGGACCCTAGCCTCTAGGGTACCTGGTCTGTGATAGGTGCCTGATAAATACTTGTTGAAAGAATGAATGAGCCAGTGAGTAGAACTGCAAGTGAAAGAATACATGGGTAAAAGTGTGGGCTCCAGAAGATGGCAGCAGTCCTGTTGCCCTTGTTTCTAGTTCCCAGAAAAAATGAGCATTGGGAGTGGTAGTGAGCATAAGGAGGTTGTTGGAAGTGCAGTCCTGGGGTGTGAGTGACTTCCTAGACATGGAGGTGATTGGTCCTGAGGGTAATGGCTTTCTTTCTCCCAGCTCCCCATACCTTGGAGGAGAAGTGTGGGTCCAGGCCCCCACCTGGGTTCCCAGGGTTAGAGACCATGCTGCCACTACTCCTGACGGCTGTAAGCGAGGGCCGGCTCAGCCTGGACGACCTGCTGCAGCGATTGCACCACAATCCTCGGCGCATCTTTCACCTGCCCCCGCAGGAGGACACCTATGTGGAGGTGTGGGGATGAGGCCCAGAGCAGGAGGGGGGCTCTCCAGCCCTAGGATATGTTCTCTGGGGATCCTTTCCCTAGCATAACCCATGTCCTCTGGGCAGGTGGATCTGGAGCATGAGTGGACAATTCCCAGCCACATGCCCTTCTCCAAGGCCCACTGGACACCTTTTGAAGGGCAGAAAGTGAAGGGCACCGTCCGCCGTGTGGTCCTGCGAGGGGAGGTTGCCTATATCGATGGGCAGGTACGCAAGTAGCCCCTGCCTGATCTCAGTAGTGCCCTCTTCTGCACCACGTTCATTTCTTCCCTTCCCAGCACATCTACACTGTCCCACTATGTGCACCACTGCCCTGGACCAGGGGTTGGGGGCACAGCTCCCCCAAGGTGCTTTTTGTCCTTGCTGACATCTACCCCTTTAGGACCTGAGTTCTCTCTGCTCCCTCCTGAGTGCCCTGCCTTCTGCCTGCAGGTTCTGGTACCCCCGGGCTATGGACAGGATGTACGGAAGTGGCCACAGGGGGCTGTTCCTCAGCTCCCACCCTCAGCCCCTGCCACTAGTGAGATGACCACGGTATCCACACTACTGGGCTAGGGGGCTGGGAGGTGTTAGTCTCAGGGCAGGATGAACAGCTTGAACATTTTCATTGGTGGTTCAGGAACAATTGGGGTTTTCTTGAGGGACTGAATTTGAAGTGGGGTTGGGTCAATTATTTTTTTAAAATGCTGGGCCAGGCCAGATGTGGTGGCTCACACTTGTAATCCCAGCACTTTGGGAGGCCAAGGCAGGCGGATCATCTGAGGTCAGGAGTTTAAGACCAGCCTAGCCAACATGGTGAAACCCCATCTCTACTAAAAATAAAAAAATTAGCCAGGCGTGGTGGTGCACATCTGTAATCCCAGCTACTTGGGAGGCTGAGGCAGGAGAATTGCTTGAACCCAGAAGGTCACGCCACTGCACTCCAGCCTGAGCGACAGAACGAGACTCCGTCTCAAAAGAAAAAAAAAAAAACAACTCTGGGCCAACGTTATCCCTCCAGACACCTGAAAGACCCCGCCGTGGCATCCCAGGGCTTCCTGATGGCCGCTTCCATCTGCCGCCCCGAATCCATCGAGCCTCCGACCCAGGTTTGCCAGGTAAGAGTGGGGTTCCTGTGACTCAGAGACTGTGTAGGGACAGGATCCACTTCTTCCCAGTGCCTCGCCTTTCTCTACTTACATGTCCTCCTCTCCATCCCTTTATCCTCGTCTGATCTGCCGTGCCATCCTTTGCCTAAACAAGTCTCCCCGGTGTGAGTAGACATCTCACAGCTTCTCACATGCCCTTTTTTGTTGTGGGCAGCTGTGTTCCTCCGCCCAGGAGCTGGGATCCCACGGGGCAGCAGAGCGTGGGGTAAATCCAGGTTGTTGGTTGGTGTGAGTCTGGCCGTTCCTCTTGCCTAGGATGCCTTTGCCAACTGGGAGAGCCCCGGGAGGGCACCACTGCTCCCATACAACACAGCCCCATGGGAAGCCACCTGTCTGTCCCCAGAGCTGCTGCAGTCCCCTGCCCTCCCCTAACCTGCTATATTACTGTGTTGTGAATTGGTTTAACATATACACTGTGATTCAGAGTTCCTGGGAATATGGGGTTTCTTTCCAAACCTCAGCCATAAATGTATATCTGTCCTCTTGTCCTGTTTGCAGCTGAGGAGCCAAAGGAGAAGTCCTCTCGGAAGGTAGCCGAGCCAGGTGAGACTCCACCCTGACACACACTCACCTCGGGGACCTCTGATCTGGCCTTGGTAGGAGGAACCCTCTGACCAGCCTTTTCTGCCCCATCCCTCACTGCAGAGCTGATGGGAACCCCTGATGGCACCTGCTACCCTCCACCACCAGTACCGAGACAGGCATCTCCCCAGAACCTGGGGACCCCTGGCTTGCTGCACCCCCAGACCTCACCCCTGCTGCACTCATTAGTGGGCCAACATATCCTGTCCGTCCAGCAGTTCACCAAGGATCAGGTGCCTGGGGCAGGGAGGATGGGACCACCCAGAGCTTTGAGGATTTGGAAAGCTGGGGCTAGGACCTTTCTAGCTAACTTGGGCTCTTTCTTAGATGTCTCACCTGTTCAATGTGGCACACACACTGCGTATGATGGTGCAGAAGGAGCGGAGCCTCGACATCCTGAAGGTCAGGATCAGGGCCGGGGGTAGGGTCCAGGCCATCGCCTGCCCTTGGGCCGCATCAGCGCAGGGCCGCGCAGTGGTCAGAGTGGGTCTTCCTCCCCCTGCCATCCCGTCCCCTTATGCTAGTCCATCCCTCTGCTGCTGTAGATCTTCCCCCACGTTTTCCCTCCCCAAAGCAGGATTTAGCTGGCTGGGGAGGCCCTGAGCATGAGACCATCGCCCCACTAGTGGGGTCTTCTGGTCTGGGCTGCTGCAATCATGGGAGAGAGCTAGGGTGTGTCCTCCTTTCCCAGCTCGTTCAGACACTTAATGATGGGTGGTTTTCTGGAGGCAGAGCCTTTAGCTCAGAGTGACACCAGTGGTGGAAACGTCAAGGCTCTGACAGGTCACAGGGGAGGTTTGGGTGCAGAAGGGTCCTCACAGCACCCCTCAAGTGTCAGTTGGGGTGGTGGTGCCTAGCTGGGGTTTCCCCAGGGTGGACACGCATACGTACACCTTCCATCTTGCTCTTTCCCTAGGGGAAGGTCATGGCCTCCATGTTCTATGAAGTGAGCACACGGACCAGCAGCTCCTTTGCAGCAGCCATGGCCCGGCTGGGAGGTGCTGTGCTCAGCTTCTCGGAAGCCACATCGTCCGTCCAGAAGGGCGAATCCCTGGCTGACTCCGTGCAGACCATGAGCTGCTATGCCGACGTCGTCGTGCTCCGGCACCCCCAGCCTGGAGCAGTGGAGGTGAGGCCAGCCTGGGTACTGAGATGGGGTTAAGAAGGCTGGACCCAGGGGCATGAGAACCCTTCTGCCCACGTTTTCTGTGTTTTGGGCCAGATGAGTGAGGGGACCCCAGAAGAGGGGGACTGGCAGTTGGGGGGCCTCTGAGCTGCAAAAGACAGGATTTTCCCCTTTTTTCCAGCTGGCCGCCAAGCACTGCCGGAGGCCAGTGATCAATGCTGGGGATGGGGTCGGAGAGCACCCCACCCAGGCCCTGCTGGACATCTTCACCATCCGTGAGGAGCTGGGAACTGTCAATGGCATGACGGTGAGGGTGGTGGCAGGGTTTGGATCCCTGCCAGGGGACGATCTAGAGAGGGAGGCAGGAAGTGGTTACCCCGGTACAGGACAGCTGCATCAAGGAGGCCTTCATTCTGCTCCAGAGGCTTTTAAAAGCTTGGAAATGATGTCGGGGGGCACTCAGTCTGGGATCCCTGTGGTGACTGGATTCCTCTCCTAGATCACGATGGTGGGTGACCTGAAGCACGGACGCACAGTACATTCCCTGGCCTGCCTGCTCACCCAGTATCGTGTCAGCCTGCGCTACGTGGCACCTCCCAGCCTGCGCATGCCACCCACTGTGCGGGCCTTCGTGGCCTCCCGCGGCACCAAGCAGGTGAGACCCTCACAGCCCTGCCTGGAAGCCATGGAGATGTGGGTTGGGCAGTCAGAGCCCAGCGCTGCATCCACCATGGCTCTCCTCACCCTCCAGGAGGAATTCGAGAGCATTGAGGAGGCGCTGCCTGACACTGATGTGCTCTACATGACTCGAATCCAGAAGGAACGATTTGGCTCTACCCAGGAGTACGAAGCTGTGAGTGCTGGGCTTGAGGAAGAAGCCAGGGCTGCTGCCGTAGGGCATCAGATATGAGGACAGAAAGGCTGGGCTGAGGGCTGGGTCAGAGCTGTTAAACTTCACATCTGTCAATTGCCATAGCTGCATGTGGGTGTGGAGGGGACCCCAGTGGAGCCCAGACTTGTGTCCTCTGTAGCCACTCCTACCCCAAGGCACTAATGGGGACCCCATCTGCTTTGCAGTGCTTTGGTCAGTTCATCCTCACTCCCCACATCATGACCCGGGCCAAGAAGAAGATGGTGGTGATGCACCCGATGCCCCGTGTCAACGAGATAAGGTGGTGCAGCATCAGAGTCAGAGACTGCCTCGGGGCTGGTGGACGGGAGGAGACTTAGTCCTGGACAAGCCATCCATGGGCTGCACGATAACACTTCCTTTTTTTTTTTTTTTTTTTTTGCAGCGTGGAAGTGGACTCGGATCCCCGCGCAGCCTACTTCCGCCAGGCTGAGAACGGCATGTACATCCGCATGGCTCTGTTAGCCACCGTGCTGGGCCGTTTCTAGGGCCTGGCTTCCTCAGCCTCTTCTCTTTAGGCCCAGCTGCTGGGCAAGGAATTCCAGTGCCTCCTACGGGGGCAGCACACTTAGATATTCCTGGACATCCAGATAGCTCACATGTGCTGACCACACTTCAGGCTCTGGACTGGAGCTCTCTGGCATGGGGGTGGGGCCTCAGATGCTGGGGCCCAGTCTGCCCCATCTTCATTCCTGCACCTTAAACCTGTACAGTCATTTTTCTACTGACTTAATAAACAGCCGAGCTGTCCCTTGATGCTGAGTGTAGTAGAACAGAGCTTTCTTTTAGAAAATTGAGCAGATTCCCAAATTATAAGAGCAGCCTCACCAGGCAGGGCTCTGGCTAGGGCTGCGTGCCCACACTCGGCATTTTCACACTCGTGACTCTTTGGGACTCGGCAGGAGCGTGTTAACTCTGTGCTCTCTGAGTCCTGTGTCGTGCTGATGCCAGCGCTTACCTGGGGGCTCTGGCTGGTGTCCAGCCCTCCTTCCTCAATTCAGTTGACTCAAAGACCTGACAGAGAGTTCTGCCCTCTTCCTGACACTGGGAGAACACTCATCAGGGTAAAAGGAAGGCTGAGCACTGCGGCCTGTCTGAGGCCAGGCCTGGACTCTTCCTCACTCTTTCTGGTTAGTCCTCCTCCAGTGGCTAAGGCTGCCATTGCATTCTCAAAACCACCCTGGAGTTCTTCAGCCACTGTCACTATTAGGAGCCCCTCCTATTTCCCATCCCTGGGAGCCTCTGCCTGACATTGGACAGAGGGGCAGATGCCATGGAGGGCTGAGGAGCACTTTGGCTTGGAGACCCCAGGGCAGCAGCCTAAGGGCAGTAGCTTATGTGTCTGTGGGTGAGGGCTTCTGAGGAGCAGCTGTGCCCTCCAGTGAACTTGAGTAGCATTGGAGAAATCTCATTTCTTGTTCCAACAAAACTTAGCACTCTGTGGGTACAAAGCACCATGTGCAGTGGGAGTACAAGGAAGAACAAGGCAATTCTCACCCTCAGTTTTCAGCCTCGGGTCATAAGGCTTCCAGTGGCTTCTACAGATTAAACTGCTGCACACTGGCACATGATAGTGCAAACTGCTCTGACACCATTCAGGAATCACCTACTTCATCCAGAGAGTAACAGCGTATTCTAGAGATGAGAAAAGGAGAAGGACCTCGTTTTTTGAGAACTTAGTGTGAACAGGAACTTGATGCGTATTCTCATTTCTCACACCAGCCTTCCACCCATTTCACAGATGTGGACACTGGCTCAGAGAAGTGGTGGGGGCCGGTGGCTCACCCCTGTAATCTCAGCATTTTGGGAGGCTGAGGCAGGCGGATCACCTGAGGTCAGGAGTTTGAGACCAGCCTGGCCAACATGGTGAAACCCTGTCGACTAAAAATATAAAAATCAGCTGTGTTTGGTGGTGTGCGCCTGTAATCCCAGCTACTTGGGAGGCTGAGGCAGGAGAATCGCTTGAACCCAGGAGGTGGAGGTTGCAGTGAGGCAAGATGGCACCATTACACTCCAGCCTGGGCAACAGTGACACTCTTATCTCCAAAAAAAAAAAAAAAGGTGGTAGCTTGCTGGGCCACTCACCTTGAGACTCATACGCAGGACTTCTTGACTTAACAACCCACCTTTCTGTTAAAAGGAAAGGTCATTTCTGGCTTTAAGGGCATCCAAAAACCAGTGGGAAAGACAAGCCACAAATCTAAGCAGTCCTGTAGGGAACCAGTTTCCAGAAGAGGTCAGCACAGATACGGAGTCGGAGAACCCTGTGCCGTGGGGTGTGAGCTGTGTCGTGAGGAAGGACGAAGAGTCTCCTTTACAGTACAGTTCGAGAGGAATGGAAATTGTGTCTGCGGTACAGTGAGGAGACACTGAACGCAGCAGGAGATTCCTACTGAGTATTGTGAGGGTTGAGAGTCTGACGGACCAGAACAGGGGGCTTGGATGTCAATTCCAACAAAAATATTAATTTACAACCACAGGTACTATTTGAAGGAGGGTATTAAGTATAATGCTAAGTCCTAGAGTGTGGAGGCCTCCAGTCCTGCTAATGTTAACCCTTTCCAGTCTTTCCAAACCCAGATTCCTGCCTGACAAGGTCTCCCTCAGGTACCTGGAGGACTTTATTGGTTGGAAAATAGAGTACCATTTCCAGAACTCTTCTTTTTCTTTCTAGAGACTCCATTTCCTTGCTTAAACTCTTAGAACAAGTCAGAGATTATTTTCCCAATTGTACTCATGAGTACTTGGGACTCGCACACAGATTCCCACAGAACTTGGATAGCCTCACCCTCAAGTAGAAGCAGTGTTTTCTGCCAAGTAGCGGACGCATTTTACTTAGTTGCTAAGTGGTGGGAGATGTTCCTGTCCTGAGCCTTTCTTTGGCTCTCCTAATCATAGCTCAGCTCTGAGTTGAATAAAGTTTTTTCCCGTATGACCAGAAAGTAAATCTCATTATATTGGGAAACAAAATGAAAAAACTTACCAGCAAAAACCAAAATTAGCCCTTTATTTTTTAAAATTTTTATCGTTTTGAGATGGCATCTCGCTCTGTTGCCCAGGCTGGAGTGCAGTGGTGCAATCTTGGCTCACTGCAACCTCCGCCTCCCAGGTTCAAGTGATTCTCCTGCCTCAGTCTCCCGAGTAACTGGGACTACAGACATGTGCTACCACACCCAGCTAACTTTTTGTATTTTTAGTAGAGATGGGGTTTTGCCATGTTGGCTAGGCTGGTGTTGAACTCCTGACTTCAAGTGATCTGCCCGCCTCAGCCTCCCAAAGTGCTAGGATTACAGGCATGAGCCACCGCACCCAGCCAAAATTAGCCCTTTAATACAATACCTTTGGGCCTGTTCCACATCCACTGAGAAACAACTTCATATCTGCCATGTAATTGTCATGAAGCATAAAAAGTTAGTTTGCTTCCTGAGGTACTTAAGAGGTTTGATCTATTTCTTCTATAAGAAACATTTATATGCCAAGCACTGTTCTAAGCGCTTTACAGATACATCCCTTTGACACTTGGATGAATCCTTTGACTATCCCCCACCTTGAAAGAAGTGTGGCTAACGTTGGGTTGCTATTACAGCCATTTTCTCCCACCTCTTCACTGTCCACCCTAGTGAAGGAGACATCCCCCTCAACATAGGTAGTCCACCGGGAGCTTTGTCAGCTGCACTCTAGTCCTGGCCCTTACAACTAACTACCTGCAACCATGGCAAGTCAGTATGCCTGTGGGCTTTTATTTTTTATACTAAAATTTTGTTTTTGAGACAGGGTCTCATTCTGTCACCCAGGCTGGAGTGCAGTGGCACGATCTCAGCTCACTGCAGCCTTGACCTCATGGGCTCAAGTGATCCTCCCACTTAAGCCTCCCAAGGAGGTGGGACCACCATGGCCATACCACCATGCCCGGCTAATTTTTTGTGTTTTTTTTGTAGAGATGGGGTTTTGCCATGTCGTCCAGGCTGGTCTCAAACTCCTGGAGTCAAGTTATCCTCCCCACTCAGCCTCCAGAATAGCTGGGACCACAGGCACATGCCACCACACCTGGCTAATTTTTGTTCTTGTTTTGTTTTATAGAGATGGGGATTCGCCATGTTGCCCAGGCTGGCCTATTACTTTTTTTTTTTTTTTTTTTTTTTTTGAGACGGAGTCTTGCTCTGTTGCCCAGGCTGGAGTGCAGTGGCGCGATCTTGGCTCACCGCAAGCTCCGCCTCCCGGGTTCACGCCATTCTCCTGCCTCAGCCTCTCCGAGTAGCTGGGACTACAGGCACCTGCCACCACGCCCGGCTAATTTTTTGTATTTTTAGTAGAGATGGGGTTTCACCGTGGTCTCGATCTCCTGACCTCGTGATCCGCCCGCCTCAGCCTCCCAAAGTGCTGGGATTACAAGCATGAGCCACCGCGCCCGGCCAGGCTGGTCTATTCCTGGGCTCAAGTGATCCTCCTGCATCAGCCTCCTAAAGTGCTGGGATTACAGCCATGAGCCACCATGCCCAACCCACCTATAGGCTTTAAAAGGGTAGTTGGCAATTCCCAGTGTAAAATTGCAAAGTGTCTGTAGTTCTGCAGTAATATCCCCTGGGACAATGAGGGGGCATTGGCTGGTGGAGGTGAGGAGCAGAGAATGAGGGCCAGGATGGGATGAGTGCTTAATGGAAGACTCGTCTGGCAACAGTGCCTAGAAGAGAGAAAGGAGCCATTTCACCATCAGGACGCCAATTAGGAAGTTGTTGCAGTAAATACAGATCATGGGTGAAGAGGTTCTAGATTCAGAGATAGGAATAGATGTTATAACACTGAGGAGAGAGGAGAGTGAAGAATGACTGCACAGTGTGGGACCTCAAGACTGGAAGAAAGAAGACTGATGAAGGTAGACCAGATAGCCAGTTTGGGGTAGGGGAGGGCTGATTCCATTTGGGCATGATACCTAGCTGCCGTGGGCCATCTATATGGAGATGTCATGGAGGTAATGGAGCTGGGGAGTTGGAGCAAGCACAATAGAGACAGGTGGCATTTATATGTGACAACACAAGTGCCATGAGAGCAGGGACTTTACTCACTGATGTATCCCAAACACCAGAACAGGGTTGAGCACATAGTAGGTGCTCAGTAAATGTGTTGACCGAAGCATCAACATAAAGGTAATTGAAGCTTTTAAAATATGCATATTTGTTCACCAAGAGAATAGCGGCAAGCCTCAATTTCAGCAAGGGCCGCAGGAGAACTCAGGAGAAAGCCCTCAAGAGGCCCAGAATTCCAAGTGTGTGAGGGACGGGAGACGTATTGGCAGATTCAAATCCTGTAGCAGGCCAAAGAGAAGGAAATTTGAGGCAAGGACCTTGTCACAATAGTTGTTAGGCTGATGCTTTGTGGTGGTAACCAGGTTTCACGAGGTTACTGAGGGACTGGTTTAGAAGCTGAGGTCATTTACCAAGTGGCAAGGAAAAAAATGGGTGTTGAGATTGGGAGCTCAAAGGCTTTAGAGAAGGTCAGGGAAGCTGTGATGAATCCGCAGGAGATTAATAGAGTCACAAGCAGGACTCAAGGGGAAGCTAAACACTGAATTTGTGGTGGGGCTGGGGGAAGCCATGTCCAGGGCAGGGGCGTAGAAGGGCTTGCACTCCCTGGAGGACCCAAGAAATAGAAATGAGCTGGCCGGGCGCGGTGGCTCACGCCTGTAATCCCAGCACTTTGGGAGGCCGAGACGGGCGGATCACGAGGTCAGGAGATCGAGACCATCCTGGCTAACACAGTGAAACCCCATCTCTACTAAAAATGCAAAAAAAATTAGCCGGGTGTGGTGGCAGGCACCTGTAGTCCCAGCTACTCGGGAGGCTGAGGCAGGAGAATGGTGTGAATCCGGGAGGCGGAGCTTGCAGTGAGCCAAGATCACGCCACTGCACGCCAGCCTGGGCGACAGAGCGAGACTCCATCTCAAAAAAAAAAAAAAAAGAAAAGAAATAGAAGTGACTGCCTGCTTGAGAGCACCTGAATTGCTACCATCAAATGCTACCATCAGATACAGATTTATACCTCGGGAATCAGCATGTATGAAACCTGCTTGTTGGCCCATTGGTAGGAGCTGGGGATTAGAAGATATTTTATGGACTTTGCATTGGCCTGACATTTATCTGTTCACCATCCTTCCACCCATTCCTTCCATCACCAGCAGTCATACTGAGCATGTACTTGGTGTCTGGCTGTGAGCTAAGTGCTGGGGGAGCATGCCTTCCTTCAAGGAGTGTGCCGTCAGTAGGCCACTCACCGTTTTACTGTGTCTCCCAGCAGTCCTGTGTGACCACGTCCTGGTCCAGCAGGATGGGGGAAAGCAGGGAGGCCATGCTTGGGCAGACTCCGTGGTCAGGAAAAAGCAAGTTTGTTGTTGTAGGGTCTGAACCCTGCTTATTTTGGTAAGCTTTCTTATCTTTTTAATATTCTGGGTTCAGTTCCCTTCTATTTCTCCCCAGGCTTTTGGCTACAGTCCTTTAAAAATTTATAGCCATCGTTGTTGAGCCAAAGCAAACAAAAGAATGGAATCGGAGGTTAAGGCTGTTTGGGTCGTGTCCTCTGAGTGAGCTTCTCCAGGTCTGGGCTTCTTCCTGTCCCCAGGATGCTGTAGCCAGAGAGCAGATGAGGGGGTCTGGGGTACCACACGGGGAATGGCAAGAGCAGAGAAAGGCTAGGACCAGGGCTGAAGGAGGGAGGCACAGGCTCTGGCAACCCGGGCCTTCCTGCCTACCCACTCTCCCCACGTTCTTTCTCTTGCCAGTTAAGGAAACGGGGCCTGCTTTGTGTATGGGATTGCTGGTGATCACAGCTGCATCTGGGGGTGTGGTGGTATACACGTGGAGTCCCAGCTGCTCAGGAAGCCGAGGCAGGAGGATTGCTTGAGCCCAGGAGTTTGAGGCTAGCCTGGGCAGCATAGCAAGACCCCATCTCAAAAAAGGAAAAAGCCCCCACACAGCTGCATCTGGGGCCTCAGGCTTTGCCCTGTTGGGGCCTGGGAACTGCCCCTCCAAGCACCCCTTGGAAGGTACTGACCAGGTACTGACGAGGTGTCCCTGGGACTTAAGCCAGGGACAGGGAGGCCCTGGGAACTGCCAGAGTTGGGGGAAGGGAGGTTGGAGAGTTAAGAAAGAGTACTCCAACTATAAAAGGAACACCCTGACTACAGTTCTCCACAGTGAGGGTCTCTGCCTGGCGGAGGGGAAAAGGGTCTTCCCGTCCTGACCCCAGTCCTGAGACTCCCTGCAAAGACTTCCGGCTGCCTCTGCCGCTGCGGTGGCGTATGCCCCAGTTGGGGGCGCTGCTCCCCAGCCAGCCGGGCTCTAGGAAGCGGGAGGGCCAAATGCCTCCTTTAAGCCGGCTGCACCGGGGCCCTGACCGGGCGGGAGGGCTGCTGGAGGGTGGTGCTTATCACCCGGGCTTCCTCTTGACCCTGCCGGCTGGGCCCTGGGCCTTGGCCTTCGCCTCTTAAACGTGGTGCAGGACTCACCCTGGGCCACCCCCAGGTGGGCAGCCTTGGGAGAAGGGCAGGACCTGCCCATGTGCCCATGCTCCTCCGCCCAGTCACTGCAGCACGAAGCCTCTCAGGTCCGCACCCTGCATTCTGGCCCTTTGATCTCCAGTTTCTCCTTTGAATAGCCCTGCAGCTCTCAGCAGGGAAACCCGGCCTGCCTCTCTCTCCCTCCACTCTCCATTTCACCCCTTTCCTGGCTGTCCCTCTTCTCTGGTTCCTCTCTGACCCGAAAGCCCACCCCTCCCCTAGTTAATCAGCTGTGTAAAGAGCTGGGGCTGGGCTGAGGGATGGGCCCTCCCCCACCTGCGTTGCTCTCCCCTGCCTTCCCCTCACCCCTCCCAGGCCCAGTCCCTTCCCCTCGACTCTCCCTCCTCCATCTATCATCAAGGAAGGGCACCCAGGGGAAAGGGACTTCTGGATAAGCGAGTGGAGAAGGAGGATAGGAGGATAATGGGGGAGTGCAGGCAGCTCTGCAGATAAGGATTTCCTGGGCTCCCGGGGATGGTGGCCCAGTGTGAAGGTGGGAGAATGCTCCAGAGACCTGTCTCCTCATCCTCCCGATGCCCGAAGGTGAGTGGAAAGGCAGGATGGCATAGAGAGAGGGCTGGGGACGTCCAGGGGCCAGAACTCAGAACCGAGTGGAACCAGCTGCACGACCATGGGCAGGTGAGCCTGCTTCTCCATCTGTCAGGTGCACAGGATACTGTCCGCACCACAGTGCCTTGCACAAAATAAGCTCAATGATTGCTGCTTCCTGTCCCTGCTGTCAGGGTGCCGGGCCACTCTCTTCTCCTGAAATCTCTCCCCTGCATCCTGGGTTCAACCCAAAAGCTAACTCTTATATACACCTTCTATATACCAGGCACATTCACACCCATGATATCACGTAATCACTATTTTATAATTGAGAAAGCTGAGACGCAGAGAGGTTAACTGTGACTAGAATAATAGTAAAGGCAGAGCAGAACCAGAGGGTCTGACCCCAGAGCCCCAGGACGGGAGTGCCAGCGGCAGCAGGCTGCTGGAAGGGCTGAGGAAAGATTTGCTGAGAAACTCAACTAGGCAAGAGCTTCAAAGGGGCCTGGAGTGGGAATGAGAGCCTGGGCATGTGCTGGCTGACCCTGGGGAAGTCTTTTTCCCTCCCTGAGTCTCCTCCTTCTATGGGCAGAAGATGGACTGGATGCTTGGTGAAGGCATTCACCTGCCCTGAGCATTCCCCTGCAAAGGGACCCAGCATCGCACAGATAGGACAGGCTGTGGCTTAAAGCATTTCATAGGGTGAAAATCGAGTCCTCCTGTTCCCCACCCTCCTTCCCTCTCCTCGATTTCCTCACTCTTCCCCACCCCCATCCTGTCACCTGGGGCCTATAATCAATGAGACGTAAAATGAGAAAGTATCAGGAACCAGCAAAGCATGGCGAGCAGCTGGGGCGGCCTTGCCGCCGGGCGTGATGGACTGCCAGCCCTTCGCTTCGCCAGCCTCCCACACCCTGACGTGGGCAGTGGCGTCTCACCCAGCCTGGGCTAAGGCTCCCAGCTGGACATCAGGGAGGGGGCTACCTCTGATGAGTCCAAAAGCCTCACCTTTAAAAAGGAATGAAATCTATGGTCTTGACATGGAAAGATGAGTCTAGGCTGCATGGTTGAGTCATAAACACAGGTAACACGATCTCACCTATAAGATGACCCCATTTTTGTTATTATGTAGAAATACTGACCCCATACTAGGATTAGCAGTTTTCTCGGAAAGTAAGATTACAGGGGAAACATTCACTTTCTACTTTATATACTTTTCCTTTGTTGTACCCTTAAAACAAGTATATATTGCTTTTATAGTAAAAATAATCTGATAATAAAGATATTTCTATTATGAGGAAGGCTCACAGAAATATGCATGGGCTATTGAAAATGCTCAACGTCCTTGCTTTGGGCTGGGATTTTATCAACATGGTGGGAAGGCCTGAAGCACTAGATCTAAAATCAAAGCACAGAGTCTAATTTTTTTTTTTTTTTTTAAGACAGAGTCTCCCTCTGTCGCCCAGGCTGGAGTGCAGTGGCGCAATCTCAGCTCACTGCAACCTCTGCCTTCCGGGTTCAAGCGATTCTCCCTGCCTCAACCTCCCGAGTAGCCAGGATTACAGGTGCCCACCACCATGCCCAGCTAATTTTTTTTTTTTTGAGACAGAGTTTCACTCTTGTTGCCCAGGCTGGAGTGCACTGATGCAATCTCGGCTCACCGCAACCTCTGCCTCCTGGGTTCAAGCAATTCTTCCGCCTCAGCCTCCTGAGTAGCTGGGATTACAGGCATGCGCCACCACACTGGCTAATTCTTGTATTTTTAGTAGAGACGGGGTTTCTCCATGTTGGTCAGGCTGGTCTCGAACTCCTGACCTCAGGTGATCCACCCACCTCGGCCTCCTGAAGTGCTGGGATTACAGGCATGAACCACTGTGCCCGGCCAAATTTTTGTATTTTTTAGTAGAGACAGGGTTTGACCATGTTTGAGACACAGTCTCACTGTGTTGCCCAGACTGGAGTGCAGTGGCACAATCATGGCTCACTGCAGCCTCGACAACCTGGGCTCAAGTGATTCTCCCCACTTAGCCTCTCAAGTAACTGGGACTACAGGTACACACTACCATGCCCAGCTAATTTTTGTATTTCTTGTACAGACAGGGTTTCACCATGTTGCCCAGGCTGATCTTGAACTCCTGGGGTCAAGTGATCTGCCTGCCTCAGCCTCCCAAAGTGCTGGAATTACAGGCGTGAGCCATCTTGCCTAGCTGATTTTTCTTTTTTTTTCTTTTTTTTTTTTTTTGATGGAGTCTTGCTCTGTCGCTCAGGCTGGAGTGCAGTTGCATGATCATAGTTCATTGCAGCCTCAACCTCCTGGGCTCAAGTGATCCTCCCACCTCAGCCTCCTGAGTAGCTGGAACCACAGACATACACCACCACACGTAGCTAATTTATTTTTATTTTTAATTTTTTTTGTAGAGACAGGGTGTCACTATGTTGACCAGGCTGGTCTTGAACTCCTGGCCTCAAGCGATCCTCCTGCCTCAGCCTCTCAAAGTGCTGGGATGACAGACATGAGCCACCAAA
Source organism: Homo sapiens (assembly GCF_000001405.40). Taxonomy (NCBI): domain Eukaryota; kingdom Metazoa; phylum Chordata; class Mammalia; order Primates; family Hominidae; genus Homo; species Homo sapiens. Next base: position 27,253,655 of record NC_000002.12, read on the forward strand.
CCCAGTGAGTTTGATTTTTTTTTTTTTTTGAGACAAGGTCTTGCTCTGTTGCCCAGGCTGAAGTGCAGTGGCATGATCATGGCTGACTGCTGCCTTGACCTCCTGGGCTCAGGCAATCCTCCTGCCTCAGCCTCCTGAATAGCTGGGACTACAGGTATGCACCACCACACCCAGCTAATTTTTAAATTATTTGTAGAGACAGGGGTTTCCCTAGGTTGCCCAGGCTGGTCTTGAACTCCTGGGCTCAAACAATCCTCCTGCCTCAGCCTCCAAAGGGCTGAGATTACAGGCACAGGCCACTATGTCCAGCTTGAGTTTGATTTTTTTTAAAGAGAAAATCAACAATCCCTTAATGAGCCTGATTTTAAGACTTAATGTGTCAAAATATGCAGTTCTTAAGACAAAGGGGGAATAGGTGTAAAAGAGGTCCTTGGTGTTCACAGCCTAAACCTGGACTCAGGGTTGGCTGCTATCAGGGTTGAGGGGTCCCTACCGCTGGACACCTTAGATGGCCTGAGAACCAAGCCCACATCAGTGCTATGGTCTAGCCATTCTCCCTCAAAGGGACCCAGCCTCCCTCCAGCCAGCCTGAGGCCCACTGGCATGCAGGGACCTCTGAGAACGACTGACTCCCAGGGATTCCTTGGCTCCTTACCTTCCAGCATTCTCCTGCAACCAAGCCCAGGGCACATGGGACTGTCCCTGAGCCAAGGACCCAGGCATGCTGTGAGCCAGGGGAAGGGGAGTAAAGAGACTGGTGGCTTTTACCCTCCATCTGAGGGTGGAGGGGCTGGGAAGGGACAGGAGGTCTGTGGGAGGTCACTCCAGAGGCTGGGAAGGGACAGGAGGGATTCTGTTGTTCTCAAGTGACCTATTTGACTTCCCCCTCCTGAGGAGTCAGCACACAGGCTGAAAGATGCAGTGAGACACAAGTTTATTGGTGGAGCTGCAGCGGAGTCCTCCCTCTTTCAGGGATAGCCAAGGGCACAGCACCAACAGAGGGATGGAGAGATAGACCCCCAAACAGACACATGGATGGAGCAGACTCATAGAAACCATAGCACAGCCACATAGGCACAGAGACACACAGGCCACAGCACCAAGAACACACACACACACACACACACACACACACACACACACACAGACAAAACCACAGGGCTAAGACACACGGACAAAGTGCGGGCTTTGGGGCCCCTGCATAGACAGAGCGAGGGCCATGTGGGGAGGGGGCCCCTACTGACCTCCCCCAGGCATAGGCACACCAACAGCACATAGACAGGCAGATGCCCCCAGCCAGCCAGCCTGCCACACAGACAAATGGACTGCAGGGAAAGGATGTTCGTGGCTCCACATGAACCATGGGGAGATGGCACCACAGGCCTTCAACACACCCTGCCACACTGAGGCCTGGGAGTCCCCGCCCCTGAACTAGTCACATCTATTCCCCTGACTCCCACCCCACTCCCCGCCACACTTTGGTCTTGCCCACTGGGGCTGGGGCTGGGGCTGAGGCTGGGGAAACTGGCAGGTGGTAGGAGGGAGAGAGGAAGGGGTATGGACCTGGCTCGGTCCCGTCTCTGTGATCAGGGCAGCAGATGCTGAGAGTCTGGGGCTGAGCCTCGGCCTGGCAGTGGGGTGAGGGCAGGGCCATGGCTCAGGCTTGGGGGGGTTCCTGGCAGCGCAGGCACTGGGCCATCTCCGGCTGATACTGCTCGACCTGCAGGGTGCAGCTGGAGAATCCAAACCGGGAGTAGAGCCGGGATGAGGCTTCAGCCAGGACGGCTTCAGGGTCAGCGGTGGAGTCTGTGGGAGAGTGATAAGAGGCGGCATCCATCCCGGGGGAGAAAGAACAGGCAGGGACTGAGATAAGGACAGGGAAAGGGGCTGCACAGCATTAAAGCCAGGCGTGAATGGAAGCCTGCTTTTCTTTCTGTATTGTATGAACAGCATAAAAGTGTCAAATCAAATGTTGGAGAGACTCACCCCAATCAACCATGCTAACACACTAAACTCTTTCCAGTCTCCTATTCTCTCCTGTCATTAAGTGTCAACATACAGCTCAACATTTCAGCAGCCATACCACCCGATTTCCCAGGACAATCCAGTTGTTAAATATCTGTCTCATTGTCCCTCTAGAGTTTCCATCAAATATCCCACAAATTATAATATTTTTGGCATACAAATTGCATGACTCTGATTGCTTCTTGCATCTGGAAGAAACTCAAAAATCCTTTGTCAGCTCATGACTCACCATATATATTTTTAATAGTTGAATCATAATGTAGATGCAATTTTATATTCAGCTTTTTTCTCAGCATTATACCATAAACATTTTTCATAGTTGCTGTACAGTCTTCACAAGCATCATTTTTAACAGTTATGTGATACCTCAGGGTGGAGGTGCTGTAATTTACCTAACTGTGCCCCATCACTAGACCTGTAGGTACTAATGATCTTTTAAAGGGTTGTTGGTTCCCTGTGCTACTTCAAAGAGGGTGAAACTGCCCCCAGAACACTGCATCCAGTGGATGGAGACTCCTTGTCTCCAACATGCACGAGCGCACGTGCATGTGTGTGTGTGTGTATGTGTCTATGTGAGAGAGAGAGACACAGAGAAACAGAGACAGATCAAAAAAGACTGAAACAATTCCAGTAACTCAAGCTATGGTCCCATGTTTGGGGTGGGGTATGTTCCAGGTAGTAACTAGCTGGGGCCAGTGTGACTCACCGATGGCCAGGTGTGCAGAGGCAACATGGTAAGTGAGCGTAAGGGCCCACAGGTGCAGCTCATGGGTTGCCCGGACTCCTGGCACCGACAACAGCGTATCCCGCACAGGTTCGAACCCCACATTGCGGGGGGTACCTGCAACCAGCACCAGTCATGCCTTACTGCTAGGGCTACTCCTGCCCAGAAGCAGCACCCCCACCACTGGATTCCACCTCCCCTATCCTGTATGCACTCTCCTTTTGACCCCTACAATTCACCCTATGCCCAAATCCTTGTTCCAGCAGCAGACCCCATGAGCCAAGCCTTCTTCCCGTACTATCTTCAAAGAAAAAAGTGATGGCCCACTGCGAGAGTAAAGTCAGAGAGGGCCACAGGGATGGGGAGCTGTGGTGCCCGACTCACCTTCCATGAGGATTCGAAGAACGTCTCGGAGGGTGGGAGCGGTGGATCCAAGGGCACAGATGGAGAAGAGGAAGGTGCTGATGGGGTCGGCTGCCTTGTATTGAGGCTGCAGAGAAAGAGACCCCTAAGCCCAACAACCAGGGACCTTTCAGAGGAAGATCTAGGGGTATCTTGAACAAACATGACCTGAGAGGCCCCTCAAAACCCTGAAGAGGGGACAGGGAACATGACTCATGTCTGGGAGAGTCCTGGGAGGTGGGAGGGAGGAGCTGGAGGGAGGAGGAAGGAAGCTTTGGGACCTGGGAAGGAGTGGGCTGGGATGTGGTTGTGGGGAGGAAGGCTGGGGCAGGTCTCCAATGATGGTACCTTGAAGTAGATGAGGATGGAGGCAGCCAGTACCCCAAAGCTCTGCAGGAGGTCCCCCAGCACGTGCACAAATGCCGCCCGGACGCTGGTGTTCCCCAGGGGCAGGGGCTCTTCAGGCCCCTCCTCCAGCGGTGCATACTCTGCTCCCCTAGACCCGTGGCTGTGGGGGGGCCCAGCCTGGTGCAGCACAAAGGCCATTCTGAGGGGTAAGCAGAGCACCTCAGCCTAGGGCCCTGCTCCTGGCCTCCTATACCCCCATCTCCATGTCTCACCTCCCCAGTAGCCCTTTCCCAGCCCCTGGAAGAAAACAGCATTTTGCAAGAGAGATAAACAATGCAGCCTGGGGGAAAGAATACCAGACTTGGTGCCACACATGTGGATTCGGAAGCTGGCCCTGTTACTTAAATAGATATGTGACTTGGGCAAGTCACCTGTTGGGATTGACTGCATTAATGGTAAACTAGGGGTAATGCTACCTACCTCATGGGGTGGCTGTGAGGTTTAAATGCAATCATGTTGATGAAAGCCCTCATCAGAGTGGCTGGCCCATGGCAGGCCCTTGACAGAGATCTGCTGACTGAATTTTAGGTCTCTATCCCAGACCCTTCTCAGGCACACGCAGGGCAGCCCATGGAGAGCTGTGTGTGCGTGTCTGTGTGTCTGGTGGGGAGGAGAGAGCCAGCTCTCCCATCCTGGAGGAAGACCCCTCGCCCTGGGCCCCACAAGGTGCCTGCTCCATACTGGGACGTACAACAGGTTGGCACAGACTGCGATGCTGGCGGTCAGCAGCATGGCACCCCCCTCGATGTGGTAGTCGCTGTGCAGCAGGCGGACGAAGGCCAGGTACAGGAGGATGCCAGTGACCATCCAGAGGGAGACCACAGAGGCCAAAGCCCCCAGAGTCTCTGCGGGTGGGGGGGGAGACAAGCTGTCAGAGACCTGCTTGGGACCCTGACGGGTGCCCTCTGGCAAGATTGGAGAGTCACTGGGCCATGCAGGGGCCTTACCTGAACGGTGCCAGCCAAAGGTCATGGTGCGGGTGGCTGGACGGGTGGAGAGCCAGAGGGAGAAGAGGCTGCCCATCATGCTGCCCACATCCGCCAGCAAGTGGGCTGCATCGGTCATGATGGCCAGGCTGTGTGCCAGATACCCGCCTGCCAGGGTGAAATGATGGAGTCTGCTTCCATTTAGAAAATATCATGTAGTGTGTATAGGCATGGAAAATAAATTGGGGGATATACACCAAAAATGTGATTTGGGGTTTTCTCAGGTGATGGGACTACAGGTATAATTAACTACTGTTATGTTATTTTTTTCATTCATCTGTATTTTATTTTCTACAATGATTTATTTTAATAACAAGAAAATAGGGTTTTTAAAAGAAGTCAGCCCTGACCTACTGGCCCCGGACCTCGGCTGGAATTCCCTTTGTTGCTGTCCCTTATCCCTCCTACTTCCTGAGTCCTGGGCACCCAGCTCCCCTATCCCAGCCATCCCCATCTCTGCATCTGCACCCAGGAACATTCCTGGGACTCTGGGTGGAGAGTGGCTTGGGCAGGTATTTGGAGAATGGGGTTTAAGGGCTGCTCCCCAACTTACCGACCACCTCCCCAGCCATGAAGACAAAGCAAACGGCACAGGCAGCATATAGCTGCCTCCGTGCATGCAGCCTCTCAGGGGTAAGGCCCGGCGGCGGAAGGGGGTCCCTGTGGCAGTGGTGGAAGGGCATCTCCACAGGTTTGGACTCCTCAGGGAGGGGCTCTGAGGGCTCTGTGAAGAGACTGAGGCAAGCAACATGGTTCAACCTGGGCCTGGCCCACAGGCTGGCCTGCTCACTCCACGTCCTTAGTCCCCAGTGCTGGCCTCATCAGACCATCTCCTTCCCCAGGCCTGGTCGTATCTGGGAGCTGCATCGGCAGAGGGCCACATGAGAGACCGGGGCTAAATGAACAGGTCAGAGCCCAGCCTCCCTTTTCCTTCCATACACAGAGCCATAGAATTTCACAGCTGGAAAGCACCTTACAGACGGTCTAGTCTAACTTTTTTAAGAGATGGGGTTGGCCGGGAGTGGTGGCTCACACCTGTAATCCCAGCACTTTGGGAGGCCAAGGCAGGCAGATCACAAGGTCAGGAGATCGAGACCATCCTGGCCAACATGGTGAAACCCCATCTCTACTAAAAATGCAAAAATTAGCTGGGTGTGGTGGCACGTGCCTGTAATCCCAGCTACTTGGGAGGCTGAGGCAGGATAATCACTTGAACCAGGGAGTTGGAGGTTGCAGTGAGCCGAGATCGTGCCACTGCACTCCAGCCTGGCAACAGAGTGAGAGACTGTCTCAAAAAAAAAAAAAAGAGATGGGGTCTTGCTCTGTTGCCCAGGCTGGAGTGCAGTGGTGTGATCAGAGCTCACTGCACACTTGAGTTCCTGGCCTCAAGCGATCCTCCTACCTCAGCCTACTGAGTTGCTGGGATTATAGGTGTGAGCCACCGCACCCGGCTCTCATCTAACATTTTATTAAATAAATTAGAGGCATGAGGCTCACAGAGTTGGGGGACACATGGAGGCCAACCCAGTTAGTTGCTAGAGCTGAGACTAGACCCCAACCAATTTCTTATGCTAGGCACCCCAAAATGAGCAGGATTCCTACTGATCTCTGAGAGCTTTTGGTGAACAGGGCAAGCATGTACCTACACAATGATATAGAGCGAAGGTGGCCACTGTCATTAGGGCAGTTAGAGTGCTATCAGGGTTCTGAGGATGGAGGGCCAGACTAATTATAACGAGGAAATCAGGGAAACAGCTGTAAGAGGTAACATGAGAAGGGCCTTGAAGGATGGGAAGGATTTTGATAAAGACAGGTGAATGCTATGCCAGGCACGCCAAGGCAGTATGAAGGGAAGGTGGAGTGAAGTGTGGAGTGGGACTCAGCATGTGTTCCTGGCCTTGGTGTGCCTCCTTTCCAGGCCCACCTCCCAGAACCTCCACTCCTGGATCCTGCCCCCGCCCTCCCTAGACATGAAGCTGAAGTGTGGCCCTTTAAGAGACGAGCGGGACATTGGGGCCAAAAAGTCTGATTCCGGGCACAGAGAACTGATGGCTAGATTCCAGAGCTGGGGTTGTCATGGGAGGAAGGGGTGCAGCCTGCTATGGCTGAGGATGGCAGTGGGAGGAGCATGTTAATTGGACTTCAGTCCGACTATAAGCACCCAGCAGAGCCCACCTTAACTGCATGGTACCATAAGTCTCCCTTGACAAATGAATGGGGCTTGGGACCTCACCTGGGGATGCCAGAGGCTGAGTGAGGTCAGGCTGAGTGCTAAGTCCATTCTGGTCCAATTCTCAGCCCCACCACTACCCAACCTGAACCCAGCAAGGACAGAATTTTCCACAGAATTCAGGACCTGAATAGAAAATACAGTACTAGAAATACTCATGGAGGTGTGACAAGAATACCCACAAGTAAAAACGATGGCTCCAGATAGAAATGTGATCATAGCAGCAAAGTGGGGCGGGATGTCTGGGGCCTTCTGGCTAAAGACAATTCTGCCAAGTGGGTGAACTGAGTTTTGAGGGAGGTAGGGGGAACATTTGGTGCTTGTACAGAGAACTGAAATACTGGTAGATTAATTTCTTGAATTTCCAAAGCCCCATCCAAGACTTAGAATCTGGGCGTGTATGATTCTGGATGTGTTTCCAGAGGAGATGGCGTGGTGAAGGAGGCTGTGAAACCGATCCTCATTCATTCAATGAGGTGCACCAGGCAGAGCACACATAATGAAGCCTGGTCTGGTGGGAAAGACAGATTGTAACAAATGGCTTACTACATAAGGACAGGTTGATGCTAGGAGGGTTATGAACAAAGCACTTTGGGGTGCAGGGAAGGGAGCACTCCCTCACAGCGGGCTCGGAGAACTTCACAGAGAAAGGTATGTTTAAGGAGATGAGACCTAGTTGGAGAAGGGTGTTCCAGACATGTAGAATGACAAAGACGAGGTTTGTGGCTTGGAGTCTAAGCGTGAAGTGTCAGGGGAGGGCTGAGGAGGAAAGTGATGGGCTCAAAGGAACATAAAGGGAGATACACTGACTGCTTGAACAAATATCTCCTGAGCACTGAGATGACCTTGCTGATGGGAGGAAGAGAGGAGAAGAGAGGAAATGGAGGGGTCTAGAACAAACCAGGCCAGAGCTTCCCTGGAGGGGCAGGTAGGTTAGGAAATGCCTTTCAGAAAATGCTGCAGGATTCGGTGACTAATGGTCATATGAGTGAAGATGGACTGGAGTTGGAGATGTGAGTCTGAAGCGCAGAGGCTGGGTGGCTTTGGGGGCAGTGGGCAACATTCATTCCCTGGCCTTGTAAGGCACAGCACAGCCAGTCATCAAGGTGGCCACCCATCAACAGGCTGCTCCCTTTTGTTCTGCATAATTTGGGCACTAAGGAAGCCTGGCTGTTGGTGTGTGGGGGTGTGGGCATGTGGGGTGGCTACATGCTGTTTAGAGACAAGGAAAGGCTGTTTCCTCTCCCTGGCCCTCCGAAACCCCCAACCAACAACCGATATTGAGCGGGGAAGAGGGGTGACGTAGCAGGGGCTGAACCAAAATCAAAAGGACACCTGAAGAGATGCCAGGCCTACGGCAGAGCCCCCACCGCGTCTCTGCAGGCCCCTGCAGGAAGGGGTCCAGCTCTCTTCTGCTCACCCCCTCCCCCAACCCAGCTTGAAGGCCCCCACCCAAAGAAAGAGCGAGAAGCACACAGAAGCACCACGTCAGAGACAAAGGGAAAGGGACTAGGAGAGAAACAGAAAGATTGAGAGAGGTGGGGGAAGAGAAAAAGCCGGAGACCCTGCCAAATTCCGGAGACAAACGGACGGTCAGCCGACAGACAAGATGGCCCACGGGGGTGGGCAGGGAGGTCGGACGGCCGCTCAGAGGGGCAGGTGGACGGTGGCGGCAGGCGCGGGGGCCGGCGGGGCGCGTTGGCGGTTCTCCTGCCACCCCCGGCCCGCTGTCCCGGCCGCTCCGCGCGCCTCATTTCACACCTCGCCGCCCCCGGCCCCGTCTGTGCGGAGCCGGGAATACCCCCGCTGCCCAGACCGCACCTGCTCCTTCCTCGCCGCCCCCTCGCTTCCCGGCGGCCGCCCGCCCCCCAGGGGCCCGCAAGACCCGCGCGGAGCCCGGCCCATCCTCGGGCCCCGGCGCCCACAGCTGGCCGCGGCTGGAGGGGGCGCGCGGAGGGGAGCCCCCGGGGCCTACAGAGGGAGCTCTGAAGCCTGGGCAGCGAGGCGCTCCCGCCCTGGGCCCGGGGCAATGCGGACCTTGGCGCACCGGGCGAGGGCTCCGGCCCGACCGAGCGGCAGCTGCTCCCAGGGAAGGCAGGCGCCGCGGGGGTGGCGGAGGGGTCCGGCGGCCTGGGACGCCGGCCGGAGGGGAGTGAGAGGCCGCTTCACCCGAGGAAGTCAGGCGGCCGGGAGGAGGCGTAGCCGGCTGTGTAGGGCTGGGCGCTCCGTGTGGCCAGAGGGGATGAAGCGGGGTGCAGCGGAGCGAGGGACCCGCGGTGCGCTGGGGCGGCCGCCGGGGCCCGCGCCGAGAGAGACAACGAAATGGACGGAGGGTAGTAGGGTGGCGCCCCCGGGCCGAGGGCCAGCCCAGGTCTGTCCTACCTCTTCAAACGCAGGCTGCCTCCGGCGCCACCGCGGTCCCGGGGGCTCACCAGGCGAGTGGTCTCCAAGCCCCCAGCGGCTGGAGAGGGCTCCATGTTCCCGGTGCCCCGACCGTCTAGGCCCCACCGAGGAAGAGAGAGGCCGGGCCGGCCCCGCGCCAAGTCCGAGCAGCCCGCCGACCCCCGGGATCCCCGCAGGGCGGCGGGGCCACCAGAGTGGAGCGAACTGCAGCGACTGTGGCGCGCGGAGTCCGAACTGCAGATCCCGCTGCCGCCGGAGCCCCGCCCCGCGTGGGGCGAGCTCCCCAAGCTCCGCCTCCAGGCTCCCCGGCCTCTCCCCACCCTTAAGCCCCGCCCCCACTGCCAAAGCCCCATTTCCCCGCGCCAGAGCCCGGGAGCGCCCCGCCACCCGAGTTCTGGAGAACTCCTCATCTCCACAGCCCCGTCCCCCAGGCGAGCTAGCCCCACCTCTGCACACAGTCCCGCCCACCGGTTCCAAGCCTCGCTCCTGAAGCCCAAGAACCTCACGACCAACCTTCGCCCAACGACCACCACTCTGTGCATGCCTGCGCGGGGGTGTCGCCCACCACGCCGTCACCCTGTGGCCGCAACCCTCACGCGGAGGCAGAAACAGGAGCGGACCCATTACCTATCTCCAGAGAACCAGAAAGAACATGAGGTGAGCGGTGACACAGGGAGATTCCAGGGACTCCAGAAACCCCTTTACGGAGAATCTGGGGTCGGAATTCACGAGCCCAGTCTGCTGCCAATCACTGTACCGCGAATGATCATTTATTTTTATACAGAAACATTGGGTGACAAGCTTCCTGCTCTCCTTCAACCCACTGTTATCCCTGCTTTTCAAATGAGTAAACTGAGACCCAGAGGAAGAAGAGTCCAAGGTCATGCAGGCTGTGAATAAAGGGCCCGGCCTGGACCCCCATCCTCTTTCCCTCCCCGGCTCTGGACGCCGCACTGGCAACTGGAGAGCGCTCACAGTTCTCTTACGGGCGGGGGTCCAGTGAAGTCGAGCCGCCTATCTGGTGTCACGGCCACTGTTTATGGAGAGGGGCTGAGGGGCAGCGGGGCAGCGTGTCAGCTAGTGATTCCCATCCTCCACACCTGCAGCGCCCTCCTGGACATTACCGCATTCTGCCTCATTTGGGGGAAACTAAAACCCAGGGGAGGGAGCGACTTACAGCAAAGTCGGTGGCCGAGCCTCAAGTCGAAGCTTCAAATGCTCAATGTTCTCTCCCCTCGCACCTGCCGCCACTGTAGAATGGGAGGGGGTGGGAAGAGGATTGTGCACTCGAAGCTGTGACAGTCTGTGAAGAGGAGGGTCCGTAGGAGGAGGGGAGCGAGTGAGCAGGGATGGGGAAGCGTGGAGGGTGGGAATGGTTAGTGAGCCCAGGCAAGAAACTCATCAGCCGCATCCTTCAGAACACACTGGGCGTCCTGAACTTAGGCTTCTGGGGACAGACACCTACCCTCGATATTGTTATTCCAACGAGCCCAAGAGTGCACTTGCAAAAAAACAAAACAAAACAAAACAAAAACGGGAGCACGTGCCAGATACAGTGGTTGGAAGTGATGGGGTTAACCCGGGAGAGCTTCGCGGAGGAGGTGAGGCTTAAACGGATTAGGAAAGCTGGGCGGCGGGCTGGCTGTTCCGGCGGGGGAGAGTGTGGCTTGGCCCGTGCCAAGGTGTGCGGGCGGCGCGTGCGAAGGGACTGTCCTGCGCCGCTGCTGCAGAGCGGCACGGGAGAGCCACAGGGGCTGCGCGCGCCCTCCGCGCCGTCCCCACCCCCGGCTGCGCCAGCCTCTCCTCCGCGCCAGCCCCCAGCCTCCCCAGTCCAAAGCCCATGAGGGGTGAGGGGGTAAGGGAGCGAGGGGGTCGTTCTCCCTCTAACCTCCCTTTAAGGCGCGGGACTTGACGGACCTCTGTTTCTCCTCGGGTCACAGGGAAGCAAATTGAGGCGGCGAGAGCAGGAAACCACCGGCCAAGTTCACCTTTTCGGGCTACTTATCAGAGCCAAGGTGGAACCCAAGTCCCTGCTTAGCTATGCCAGGGCTCTGGGTACGTCGGGCCCGGCGCCGTCGGTTTTCTAAGCGTCGCACCCATCCTAGGGCTCTCCCCAATTCTGAGAACCCTGGAGCTGGGATGCGCAGCGGCCACCGCGCACTCCGCGGCTCGGATGCGGCAGCCTGGCCCGTAGTGACCCTGGCGGGTGAGCTCGAGAATGGGGAGAAACTGCGGGGTCCTATGCGGGGAAAGGGATTCTTGGCACGGCTCAGCCGATGACGACAACAGGGGACATAACAACAATGGCTTCCTCCGGGATTTCCCTTCCCGGGCAGCCCGCGCGGCCAGCAGCACCGAGTGCCAGGAGGGGGCGCAGACGCCCTCACGTGCCCTGCCCGCCCCTGCCGGGAGCCACCAGGCGGGGAAGGCAGAGGCGCCTCGCAGCGCGTGGCCAAACGTGCCGCCTCCAGAAACCGAGGGCGCCGGCGGTGGGAATACCAACCTTCACTTGAAAATTTATGTAAGGAAAGCTTGGCGGCGAAACAGGATGCTTCCACCTGTTCCTCAAAGAGCTATCAAATGGCCCTGTGAACATCTTTGCAAAGGGTCCTCGCGAATGCCAGGCCTCAAGTGCGATTCTCTGCACTGAGGTCAGGATTTAATCTGGGCTGGAGATTTCAGGCAAATTTTAAAATGTAAGCATGTGGACAAGAGTTAACACCTGACAAGTGCAAGCCAAGCTGAAGAGCATGGACAGAGGAGGCAACCTGGAGGTCCAACTTCTACTCCATGCTCCACTCAGATGTCACCTCCAGGAAGCCTTTCCTGACTTCTCCCAGACTGGGTATGTGTCCCTCCCTGCTTCTCTCAAGGCTCACACTGTGCTTATCTGATCCCAGCACTCACCTCATGGTGATGAAGTCCTTTGCTTGTCTGTCTCCCTGCTACAGGGCAAGCTCCCTGAAGGCAGGAATTGTTTCTTTCTCATCTGTGTCCCCAAACCCCACTAATGGCTGCCACACTGTCCTCAATTAAGCCATCCCAGAAAGGAGGAGCTAGTTGAGTGGAAGCAGGATGGAGGAGGTAGGATTTTAGCTGGTCACAGGGAGAATGAGGGAGGGCAACAGCTTAAATGTCACTGCCTCGGGGAGGCCTTCTCTGGCCCCCACACTAAGTTAATTCTCATGTCATACACTCTCATCGCACAATACTTTTTCTGTTTTGTTCTTTTTTTTTTTTTTTTGGAAACAGGGTCTCACTCTGTTGCTCAGGCTGGAGTGCAGTGGTACAAACATGGCTCACCACAGCCTCGACCTCCTGGACTCAAGTGATCCTCCTGCCTCAGCCTCCCAAAGTGCTGGGACTACAGGTGTGAGCCACCATGCTGGGTCAACACACTGTTTATTTCTTTCAGCACTGATCATACTGTAACTAAATTGTTACTTGGGAATTATTTGTTTCATCATTTGGCTTCCAGGCTACCATAATCTGGTTTTCCTCCTACTTCACTGGCTGTTTATTTTCAGTCCCCTTTGCTGGTTCCTCCCCACCTTCTCAATCTTTTCTTGCTGAATTAGCCTAGGCCTTGGTCACTCTCTTCTCTTTTCTTTCCACACTCACTCCCATGGAGCTATCATCCAGTTTCTGGTCTTTAAATACTATCCAATAACAGCAGAAAGTAATGATTGTTGAAGCTAGATTCTGGGTACATAGAGAGTCACTGTACCATTCTCTCTATTTTTGTATGGGTTTGAATTTTTCTATTAAAAAGGATTAAAAATAGCCTGGCTGGTGGCTCACACCTATAATTCCAGCACTTTGGGAGGCCGAGGCAGGCAGATCACTTGAGATCAGGAGTTTGAGACCATCCTGGCCAACATGGTGAAACCCCATCTCTACTAAAAAATACAAAAATTAGCTGGGTGTGGTGGCATGCACCTATAGTCCCACCTACTTGTGAGGCTGAGGCAGGAGAATCACTTGAATTCGGGAGGCAGAGGTTGCAGTGAGCTGAGATTATGCCACTGCACTCCAGCCTGGATGACAGGTGAGATTCCATCTCATAAATAAATAAATAATAAATGTCATGTGTTTGGTGGTGATTCTCAGATCTCTCACTTGGACTCCAAACTCATATATCCACATGTCAGCTTGACATCCCTTCCTTATTGTCTGGTAGGCAGGCCTATCAAGCTCCATAAGTCTAAAACTGAGCCCCTGATTGTCACGCCATCCTGAACCTTCTCTTTCTGCAGTCTTCCCATGTCAGAATATGGTAACTCCATCCTCCCATCTGCTCAGGCCAGACATCCTAGGGTCATCCTCGACTCCTCTATTTTCACTCTACATCCAAGCTGTCAGCAAATCCTGATCCCGCCCTTGTCCAAACCACTATCATCTGTCTTCTTGATTACTGCAATAGCCTCCTCCATGGTCTCCATGTTTCCATCCTTACTGCCTTATAGTCTATTCTCAACCAAGCAGTTAGGTAAACATAGATCAGATTTGTCACTCCCCATCACACTCAGAGTACCAGCCAGAGTCCTTCTAATGGCCTGCAAGGGGTCCTACGGAATTTAGCTCCTCTGATCTCATTTCACACTTCTCCCACCTCATTCCCCAGCCATCCTGGCCTTCTTGTGAGTCCTACAACACACCAGGTATGCTCCCACCCCAGGGCCTTCACATTTGCTTATCTCACCAGCTGTAATGCACTCTGCCAGATGTGCTCATGACCTACCTCCTCACATGCTTCAGGTCTTGACTCAAATATCACCTGGCCAGGCCCTCTCTGCTTGTCCGTTTAAAAACTGCAACCTGACTGGATGCGGTGGCTCACGCCTGTAATCCCAGCACTTTGGGAGGCCGAGGTGGGTGGATCACCTGAGGTCAGGAGTTCGAGACCAGCCTGGCCAATATGGGGAAACCCCGTCTCTACTAAAAATACAAAAATAAGCCAGGCGTGGTGACATGTGCCTGTAATCCCAGCTACTCTGGAGGCTGAGGCAGGAGAATCACTCAAACCTGGAAGGCGGAGGTTGCAGTGAGCCGAGATCTTGCCACTGCACTCCAGCCTGGGCAACAAACAAGACTCCATCTCAAAAAAAAAAAAAACTCAAAAAACAAAAAAACACTGAAACCTCTCCCTAGACATTCTCTATTTCTATTCCTTGTTTTATTTTTCTCCATAGCCATCATTACCATCTAACATACTGCATATTTTACTCATTTTGTTTACTGTCTGCCCCTCTTGCCAGAATGTAAGCTCCATGATGGCAGAAATTCTGTCTGTTTTACATGCTGCTATATCCCCAGAACAGGGATACTGTTCTGTACTGTACAGTACTGTACTGTACATAATAGTACCCAGTAAATATTTGTTGAAGGTCTTAATGAACTCTGTCTCCCATATTAGGCTCTAATCTATGAGGGAAGAAAAAGAGTTTGACCACTTATCATTGTATCCAAGGTACTAGGCATATATCAGTGCTTGGTTGATATTTGTTGAGTAAGTGAATTGATTAAGGAAAAGAACAGTTTATGTGGAGAAATGGTGTGACAGCAATGGTACAGAGGTGAAGAAAAACAGAAATATTTAGTGCGGAGACCTGTTTGATTGCTGTGAAAGGTTCACTTTAGGCCGGGGGCGGTGGCTCACGCCTATAATCCCAGCACTTTGGGAGGCCGAGGTGGGCGGATCACAAGGTCAGGAGATCGAGACCATCCTGGCTAACACAGTGAAACCCCGTCTCTACTAAAAACACAAAAAATTAGCCAAGCGTGGTGGCGGGCGCCTGTGGTCCCAGCTCCTCCGGAGGCTGAGGCAGGAGAATGGCGTGAACTTGTGCCACTGCACTCCAGCCTGGGTGACAGAGCGAGACTCTGTCTCAAAAAAAAAAAAAAGAAAGGTTCACTTTAGGACAATAGTAGACAATGAGTTTGAAGGGGTAAATTGGCATAAGGTCAGCGTTCACTGCCAGATTTCAAAGGTGGTTTTGCATCCTGTGTGATGCTGTGAGCAAAGTAGTAAGATGGAAGCATGCTTTAAGAACAGTGATCTGGGAGCAGTATCCAGGATGAGGCCAGCAACGGGGAGAAAAGTTAGGAGACTAGGACACCAGCCAGTGTGATATGGAAATCCTTTAACTGGGGTGCATCAAGGCTGTGGGAGCTGAGAAGAAGAGACAAATGAAAGAGAGATTTTGAAAAAAAATTATCAAGTTTTCCTAAATTTGGGGAAAAGAATGAGTCTACAGTCTTACAAATAGTCGTAACATTAACAGAAATGGAGAAACAAACAAAAAAAATAGTCTGGGGGCAAATGATGAATTCAGATTTTAGAGTGTGGTTTTTTTTTTCTTTTTCTTTTTCTTTCTTTTTTTTTTTTTTTGGAGACAGAGTCTTGCTCTGTTGCGAGGCTGGAGTGCAGTGGCACGATCTCGGCTCACTGCAACCTCAGCCTCCCGGGTTCAAGTGATGCTCCTGCCTTAGCCTCCCGAGTAGCTGGGACTACAGGTATGTGCCACCACACGCAGCTAATTTTTTTTGTATTTTTAGTAGAGACGGGGTTTCACTGTGTTAGCCAGGATGGTCTCGATCTCCTGACCTCGTGATCCGCCTGCCTCAGCCTTCCAAAGTGCTGGGCTTACAGGTGTGAGCCACCACACCTGGCCTTTCTTTTCTTTTTTTACAAACCCTGCATGTGGCATCCAATGGAGTGTGGTTTTGAGGCAATGGAACACTGGCATGTGGATGACACCAAAGCACAGTTGTGACAGCAGAAGCCATGGGTGTAGACTGACTCTCTAAAGAAGAGAAGAAAGAGCACAAGCAGAAGCTTAAGGACCAAACTGCAGAGAAAATCCACAGTCAGAATTAGCCAGGCATGGTGGTGCGCACCTGTAATCCCAGCTACTCAGGAGGTTGAGGCAGAAGAATTGCTTGAACCCGGGAGGCAGAGGTTGCAGTGAGCCGAGACCATGCCACTCTACTCCAGCCTGGGTGACAGAGCAAGACTGTCTCAAAAACAAAAAATAAAAAAGAAGAAGAAGAAGAAAAGAAAATCCAGTCAGGACATAAGAGAAGGAAGAGGACCCAGTAAGGGAAACAGCAAATGTATCAGAGATGTAGGAAGAGAACCAGAGAAATGTGCAGAGCTCAATAAATGAGAAGATAGTTGGTGGGTTAAACAGAAAGAAGTGATTTAAGGGCCAAAGTCTCTTCCCAAAACATAACCTGATGTTTTTCACTCCATTTAGTCATTCTGCCTGAAATTTTATCTGTTATTCCTTTTGCATTAATGACAATTAATAACAATTAAGAGGGTGAGGTATTAACTATTTTTTCACTATAATCTAAATTACAGTGTTTTAATAAGATTGCTTTCTATCTACCCTGAGGGATGAGATCATTCTATGAAGGCAATAGTTTTTATTAGAAGTATTAAAACAGAGGAAATGAGAGTGGTAATTTTGGAGTTCTGGCTGCTTGGGAGGACTGGGGGCGGTGTTTTGGATAGCCAGAGGGCAGCATGACGGCACTGGGTAGGAGAACAAGAAAATGGGGTTCTAAGAGGCTGAGGAGAAGGATGTAGAAGCATGGAAAGACACCAATAACAATTTGCAAATCTTAGGGGAGGGGAAGGACCCTGATTTTTCCTTTCTTCCCAGCGACAAAATGAAATGCAACCTCTCTCCTTATAAAATCAGGAGATAGGATAGAAATAGCTAGTATAAAAACAATAGTAATAATAATAAAGCATGTGCCTCGTGCTTTATTCAAATTTAATCCTCATAACAACCCGAAGAGACAGACACTATTATCTCCAGTTTACAGGTAAGACAGGTGCTGTTAGCCTAGTGTTGGGTCTGCAAAGTTTGGGGTTGCAGGTCAGAGAGGACAGGGACATGAAGCAGTCTCCTTTCTAGCTGAAAGTCTTCCACCTCCCATCCTGAGATGTCTGGCCTGGGAAGCAGAGGCAAACACAATTGGGTGGGTGGTGGTGGTTTTGGTCACATGTAGTATACATGCCTTCTGCTGGGGGAGGGGAAAGAGGAACATTACCTGACATCACCCATGAGAGGATGTGAATATCCCCCACAGCTTTGGTCTGTCTGTAGATTTGGACTTTAAAGTAGGAAGGAACAGTCACGGTGTAGATACTGAACTTGGAGTCAGAAAACTCAGGTCAGATCTCACTAGATAACCTTAAGCAGGTCAATCCGCCTTTCTGGGCTGCACTTTCTTCAATTATAAAATGAAGGCGTTGGATTCAAGTTAAATCTCTGAGGTCCCTTCCAGCTCAAAAACTGTACAATTTGAGAACCTGGTGGTTGAATGTGACAAATTGTGATCTCTCTCTCTCCCACTGCATATGTTCCAGAGCGTGGTATTTTGGGTATAAATATGCCAATGTCTGCTGTCTGTATGTGTGTGTATTCCAGCTATATGACTAAAACTTTAGTTGTTTGTGGGTAAACAAGGGATGCTTCTTCGTTTTCTCCATGAGAGACCAAATGGCTCTGAGTGGTAGTAAACAAAAAGATCACTGACTCAAGGTATGATGGGAGGGCAAATGATCCAAGAAATGGTTTTAGTCTGTAATCATTCTTTGGCAGTTATTTTTGGTTTTTTACTTTCATTCTTTTTAAAACCAAATCCAATTAAGTCTTGACATCAACCCTGTGAAATGGCACAGGTTTTTATAGAAGAGGAAAAATAGACTCAGAGATGAAATGATTTGTCTAAGATCACACAGCCTGTGAGGGCCAGAGCCAGAGCTAAGATCTAGGGCTTCTGACCCCTGGCTTGTGTGTTCTTCCTAGGACTGAGCTGCGTGTGAGAAGAGCCCAGGCATAGAACACTCAGTCAAAGAGGCTCTGGTTTCTAGGTAAAGGCAAAGAGGAGAGCCACTGGCCAAAGGAGGCCAGGCCGACTGGGCCGTGCTACTCCCACCTCTGCAGCTTCCTGGCTGAAGTGACATTCTATTCAGAGCAGAGCCTCGCAAGACTTACAGATAACGGCTATTTCAAGAGCCATGAACTGTGATTAGTTAGAATGTCAGAGGGCCATGATAAGAAGTGAAAACATTCTGCAGCCTCTGTCAAGATGCGAAAGGTGTTTACTAACTCTTCTCAGAACCGAATTTGCCTTCTTTCTCAGGGCTCACTTCTATGAAGCAGGGATGCAATCGCCTCTTGGGTTGTTGTGAGGATCCAAAGAGATAATTAGGTAGGAGTGTCTCGGAAAAGCCTCACACTTTTGCTTGTTCATTCAACCAACCAACATTTACTGAACACAGGAAGTGTGTTAGGAACTGGAGGGAATACTAAGGCAAATAAGAAACGGGGAGTTCAGGATCACGTTATTATCTCCCCTCTCACCTTTCTGTATCATGGTTTCTTCTTGTCTAGGACCATATGAGGGAAGATGGGCCCTGTAGTCTTGTCCAATTCCCTAGCTAAGTGCTTCTGTCCCAGGGAATTCTGAGCCCAACCTCCAGGTTACATTGGATCAGCAGACGGCCCTCAGCTATAGCTCATTCAAGAAATCATTCATTCACTCACGTGAGCCAGGCATGACTCTAGGTGCTGGGGATACAATGGTCAACAAACAAACAAGGTCCTTGCCCTCGTGGAGCTGTCACCTGGGGAAGGCAGCTATTTTTTTTTTTTTTTTTGAGACGGAGTCTCACTCTATTGCCTAGGCTGGAGTGTAATGGCACGATCTCGGCTCACTGCAACCTCCGCCACACCCAGCTAATTTTTTTATTTTTAGTAGAGACAGGGTTTTACTATGTTGGCCAGACTGGTCTTGAACTCCTGACCTCGTGATCGACCCGCCTCGGCCTCCCAAAGTGCTGAGATTACAGGCATGAGCCACTGCGCCTGGCCAACAGCAGCTTTTAAATCAATATGCAAATAAACATATGTTCACCAGCTGGGCGTGGTGGCTCACGCCTGTAATCCCTGCACTTTTGGAGGCTGAGGCGGGCAGATCACTTGAGCTCAGGAGTTCAAGACCAGCCTGGGCAACATGATGAAACCCTGCCTCTACCAAAAATATGAAAATTAGCTGGGCATGCTGGTGCATGCCTTTAGTCCCAGCTACTTGGGAGGCTGAGGTGGGAGGATGGCTTGAGCCCAGGAAGTTGTGGCTGCTGAGCTGTGATTGTGTCACTGCACTCCAGACTAAGACCTTGTCTCAAAAAAAAAAAAAAATATATATATATATATGGATAGATATAGATACATATACACAGTGTGTGTGTGTGTGTGTGTGTGTGTGTGTATTTGCAGGCTGTTATGAGGTGAGGAGAGAGGAGTAGAACCCAGTTTAGAAGGCCTCTCTGAGGAGGCCTGAAGCTGAGATCCCTGAAGGATGAGAGGTCAAGCCCTCCAGGCAGAGGGAACAACATGGTCAAAGACTCTTGAAATGGGAGGGAACACGATGTTTTCAAATAACTAACAGGAAAGAGGAAAGCGGTGGAGCAGAGCCCAGAGCAAGTAGGACAGTGGTTCCAGAAAAGATTGGAGAGGGAGGGGCAGGACCACGCTGGGTCTTACAGACTGAGGCAAGGAATTCGTTATAAGTGAACCTCTAATGCCTTCTGCTCTCTCTACCCAGTGCTGGGGAAGAAATGAGCTGGTTTGTTCTGCTAGTTCTGTCCTCCCATGATAGTCATGAAAGCTTGGGGGTTAAAGAAATCTGGCATGAGACAAACCACCATAAAAAAATTATCAGCTTCAGCTTCTTTTTAAGTGAGTGACCTCTAAACTCATCTGACCCAGAGACTATGGACCAGGTGGGTAATGCAAAGGTCTTCATCCCCTCTCCCTGCACTGACCACAGGCCTACAGAAATAAATTCATTAATTCAGCAGTCATCACGTCTGCTACAGATGGACTCCTTAGTTCGTTTGCTTAGATGGTTCTTGAGGTGGAATACTGATTTACAAGTGCACCTCTAATGCCTTCTGCTCTCTCTACCCAGTGCTGGGGAAGAAATGAGCTGGTTTGTTCTGCTAGTTCTGTCCTCCCATGAGTCATGAAAGCTTGGGGGTTAAAGAAATTTGGCATGAGACAAACCACCAAAAAACATTATCAGCTTCAGCTTCTTTTTTGGTGAGTGACCTTCGAAGGAGCTGGCGCAATGGGGGTTGGCGCAATGGCTTCAAGGAGGCTGGCACAATGGCTCACGCCTTCAAGGGGGCTGGCGCAATGGCTCACGCCTGTAATCCCAGCACTTTTGGAGGCTGAGGCGGGTAGATCACTGAGGTCAGGAGTTCGAAACCAGCCTGGCCAACATGGTGAAACCCCGTCTCTACTAAAAATACAAAAAAAATTAGCCAGGCGTGGTGGCAGGCACCTGTAATCCCAGCTACTTGGAAGGCTGAAGCAGGAGAATCACTTGAACCCGGAAGGCAGAGGTTCCAGTGAGCAGACATTGTGCCACTGCACTCCAGCCTGTGTGACAGAGTGAGACTCCACCTCAAAACACAACAAAACAAACAAAAAAAACCTACAAGGTGAGGAAAATGTGCACAAATAACTGTAATAAAAGGAAGAGAGTGATAAAAGCTACAAAAAGGTTAACAGATAAGCATTTTCCAAGTAACAAAGCTTTTTCTACTACATGTTACAGGAGCCATTGAGTGCTCTTGCAAAGAAAACCAGCACTACAAAGTAGTAAATTATAAGTGATGCAAACACTACCTCCTGTAGAAACTCACAGGAAGGGAAGCCAGGTAGAGGCATGCTCCCATGCCAGCAGGTGGGGATACAAATCCTCCTTCTGCTACCTTTCCAGAAGAAAGTTAGCAATAGAGATCAAGAGCGTAAAAAAAAAAGAAAAGAAAAAAGAAAAAAAAAATCATTTCGACCCAATAATTCCACTTCTAAGAATGTATCCTTAGGAAAAAAAATTAGACATTTGTTCAAGGATTTCTGTTGAATTTTCCTTATAAGGTTATTATATTATCAAATAGAAACAACTGAAACAGCCAAGTTGGGTTACATTATGGGACATGCTCATGATGGCATCATATTTAAGTGACGTTTTTGAAGCACGGTAGTGACTTTTGGAAAAGGCTCAATACATCATTTTAATGAGACGTGCAAACTCATCATTACGATATACTAGGAGAAATGCTTTGACAGACGAAGTGGGAACAACTGGGAGAGTGAATGATGGAGTGTCAGGAACAGGGGCATATGAGTTGGGTCTTCCAGGTTGTGGAGGTGTTTCCGGGTGGAAGAGAAGGAGGGACCAAGCGGAGAGCCCTAAGTCCTGAAGACAACTGGGAAGGTAACACACCTCTTAAGAAGGGCATGCAGCAGCCATACCTCTCATCCGCCACGGTCAGCAAACCCATTGTGTTTCCTGGAGTGAGTTGGGCCATCAAGATGGGTGGTGCCCTCCTGCTGGGGAAGAGGGGCTCGGTGGGAATCCCTGCCCCAAGGCCTGGCAGCAACGCTCCTACGCTGCCTTGGGCCGCAGGCCTGCTAAGCCCTCCGCTCTCGCTTCCCTGCGCGCGAAATAAGTCCCAGGGCCAATGTGGCCTCCCCACCCAGTGCTTCCGGGGGCGCCAAAAAACGACCTGCCCAGACCCTCAGCGTCGACGCTGCGCACAAGCGCAGTCAACTGCTGGACCCGGCCGGTGTGAAGTTTCACACCCAAAAGGATGAAGGGCACCCACCTGGCTTAAGAGAACGACTCCCAGGTAAAGGGCCAGACCCAGGTGAGGAGTCGGCACAGGGCCAGAGGTGCCCTGCACACTCAGAGCTCTCCCTTTGAGCTCCTTGCCTTGCTCGGTTCTCCTGGGCCGCAGGCGTCTACCCTGCTCTCTGGGGTTCCGCTGCCTTTTCCTTGCCAGGTCTTTCCCACAGCAACGCCTTTTCTCTTCCTTCTCCAGCCTCTGAGTCCTCTTCCTCCTCTCCCCACTGTCCCACCTCTGAGGGACAGAAGTGGGGTGGTTTGAGAGCAGGAGACTGGAGGGAAGAAGCAAGTCCAGGCCTAGCTGCAAGCACTCCCCACCCCCGCCCCCGCCCCCGCCCCCGCCCCCGCCAGGCTCTAGGACACTTGACTTCTGTTAGGCCTCACACGGTTTGGTCTGAAGTGTTTCTCTCTTAATAGCTGTGGATCGGCGAGGCTCAATGGCTCACGCCTGTAATCTCAGGACTTTGGGAGGCCGAGGTGGGTGGATCACCTGAGGTCAGGAGTTCAAGAACAGCCTGACCAACATGGTGAAACTCTGTCTCTACTAAAAACACAGAAAATTAGCCGGGCGTGGTGGCGTGCACCTGTAATCTCAGCTACTCGGGAGGCTGAGGCAGGAAAATCGCTTGCACCCAGGAGGTGGAGGTTGCAGTGAGCCGAGATCGCGCCATTACACTTCAGCCTGGGCAACAAGAGCAAAAAACTCCGTCAAAAAAAAAAAAAAGAAGAAGAAGTTGTGGAGCTGTCTGATTCCTGATCCTGTCCGTTCAGGCTGGGGCCGCCCTGGTCTTTCAAACCCAGCAGTGAGCTTGGACAGACCCAGAGGTGTTTACTCCAGGTAATAGGAGCTCTAGACAAAATCAGGCTCTTTTCCTGGCTTAGACCTCTCCCTGCTTACAACACCTCTAGGATGTGGGATATCTAGAGGTCTGTGTAGCTGGAGGATGCTGGGAAATGTGAGGAGAAGATGTTTCCTCCTTAAAATTGGAATCTTTCTGATCACCTGAATTCTCCTGCTAGCCACAAATCCCACTCACTCTTATCTTATCCTTGTCCTTCTGTCATCGTTTACCTGCCTAATCCCTGAAGGTAGTGAGTTTCCTGTCACTGGAAGTGCACTTCTCGGTACCCTTACTTGTAGAAGTTCTCACAGATGCTGCTTCTCCTCTGGCTCAGATCATGTCTACTGTGAAGGAAGCAGCACACCGGCTGTCCAAAAGTGAGATGAGCCTCTATGCAGTGCTGGATCTTAAGAAGGGCGCCTCACCTGAAGACTTCAAAAAATCCTACAGGTTCAGACCTCAGCCCTTTATTGATCCTTGGAATTTCCCCCTTAAACCTTTTTCTTTCTGTATCTCTTTTGCTATCTGACTCTTTTTTTTTTTTTTTTTTTTTGAGAGGAAGTCTCGTCCTGTCACAGAGCAGAGACAGAGACTATTGAGAGTGCAGTGGCACGATCTTGGCTTACTGCAACCTCTGCCTCCCAGGTTCAAGCAATTCTCTCACCTCAGCCTCCTGAGAAGCTGGGACTACAGGCGTGCACCACCACGCCTGGCTAATTTTTGTATTTTTAGTAGAGACAGGGTTTCGCCATGTTGGCCAGGCTGGTCTCAAACTCCTGACCTCAGGTGATCTACCTGCCTCGGCCTCCCAAAGTGCTGGGATTACAGGTGTGAACCACTGTGCCTGGCCTACGACCCGTTTGTTTGTTTGTTTGTTTGTTTGTTTGTTTTGAGACAGTCTCGCTCTGTTGCCCAAGCTGTAGTGCAGTGGTGCAGTCTCGGCTCACTGCAACCTCCACCTTCCGGGTTGAAGTGATTCTCCTGCCTCAGCCTCCCGAGTAGCTGGGATTACAGGTGCCTGCCACTATGCCCAGCTAATCTTTTGTATTTTTGGTAGAGACAGGGTTTCACCATGTTGGCCAAGCTGGTCTCAAACTCCTGACCTCATGATCCGCCCACCTTGGCCTCCCAAAGCGCTGGGATTACAGGTGTGAGCCAGTGCTCCCAGCCCTATGACCCATTTTTAAGTTCCAACAAGCCCTCACTTTGGGGCCAAATGGCACCATCACCCTCTTCATTATAGTATGGGAAGGAGTTTAGACCTTGGATGCTTGCCTCCATCCTTTGTACCACATCTCATGCATTCCTTCTGCACTCTCTAGAGACTAATCCATGTCATTCATCGTAAGTCTCCTTCCCCAGCCATTCCGCATTGCTTCCCCACCCTCCTTTTGAGTATCACCTGGGTAGGAAACTGGCCTTGCGGTATCATCCCGACAAGAATCCAGGGAATGCTCAAGCAGCAGAAATATTCAAAGAGATCAACGCAGCTCATGCCATACTGAGCGACTCTAAGAAGCGGAAAATTTACGACCAGCATGGCTCATTGGGAATATATCTGTATGATCACTTTGGTGAAGAAGGCGTCAGATACTATTTTATTCTGAATAGTTGTTGGTTCAAGGTACACAATTCTCCAGGTCCTTTAAGAATAAGGAAAGAAGGGTGACCTTCCTTTCCTTATGACAAATGCTTCTGTTGTCTCATTTTCTGGGTGCCAGGAGGATTGAGGGAGGGAAGCTTGAGCAGTCATATAGAAAACTGCTGGACTGAGGCCATTCTCGCCTACCTTTTAGACACTTGTCATCCTGTGTACTCTGCTCACTTGTTGCTGTTTCTGTTGTTGCTGCTGTTTTTGCTGTGGAGCACTTAAACCACCACCTGAGCAGGATAGTGGGAGAAAATATCAGCAGAATGTCCAGAGTCAGCCTCCAAGGTCAGGTGAGAACTGCAAGCAGGGACTGTGAGGTAAGAAATGTCTGGATTGGGAATGAAAGAAATGATTGGGGTTGGGCACAATGGCTCATGCCTGTAATCCCAGCACTTTGGGAGGGTGAGGCGGGTGGATCACTTGAGGTCAGGAGTTGGAGACAAGCCTGGCCAACATGGTAAAACCCTGTCTCTACTAAAAATACAAAAATTAGCTGGGCATGGTGGCACCCACCTGTAGTCCCAGCTACTTGGGAGGCTGAGGAGGCAGAAGAATCGCTTGAACCCGGAAGGCAGAGGTTGCAGTGAGCTGAGATCGCGCCACTGCACTCCAGCCTGGGAGACAGAGCAAGACTCCATCTCAAAAAAAAAAAAAAAAAAAAAAAAAGAAAAGAAAAGAAAGAGGCTGGGCATGGTGGCTCAAACCTGTAATCCCAGCACTTTGGGAGGCCGAGGCGGGCGGATCACGAGGTCAGGAGTTTGAGACCAGCCTGACCAACATGGTGAAACCCTGTCTCTACTAAAAATACAAAAATTAGCCAGGTGTGGTGGCGGGCGCCTGTAACCCCAGCTACTTAGGAGGCTGAGGCAGGAGAATTGCTTGAACCCGGGAGACGGAAGTTTCCGTGAGCCAAGATCATGCCACTGCACTCCAGCTTGGGCAACAGAGTGAGACTCCATCTCAAAAAAAAAAAAAAAAAAGAAAGAAAGAAATGGTTGAGGGTGAGAAAGACCTGTGAAAATGGCAGGTTAATCCCTAAATATGACAATTTCAAGTCTTCAAGTCTGGCACTGGGACAAAGTGAAGAAAAAAAAAAGATCAATATGTTTCTGTGCATCACACGACAAACTGACAGTTTGAAGGTAGTAGTGTCAGCTCCTGTTAAGCTAAGGAATGGGGTGGGAGAGTATGTCTAGAGAGGACAGTTAGGTTAAGACAGATTTGAGGATGCAATTTTTGTTGTTGTTGTTTTGTTGTTGTTGGTGGTGGTGGTGTTGAGATGTAGTCTCAGTCTGTCACCCAGGCTGGATGGAGTGCAGTGGTGCGATCTCAGCTCATTGCAACCTCTGCCTCCCGGGTTCAAGCGATTCTACTGCCTCAGCCTCCTGAGTAGCTGGGATTACTAAAAAATTAGCTGGCTAATTTTTTATTTTTAGTAGAGTCAGGGTTTCGCCATGTTGGCCAGTCTGGTCTCCAACTCCTGACCTCAAGTGATCCACCTGCCTTGGCCTCCCAAAGTGTTGGGTTTATAGGCATGAGCCACTGTGCCTGGCGGGATGCAATTTTTTCCATCTACTCAAAGGAAAGGGCCAGTTGCAGTGGCTTGTGCCTGTAATCCCAGCACTTTGGGGAGCCAAGGTGGGCAGATCACTTGAGCTCAGGAGTTTGAGACCAGCCTCAGCAACATCATGAAACCCAGTATCTACAAAAAAAAAAAAAAAAATACAGAAGTCAGCCGGTCATGGCAGTGCACACCTGTAGTCTCAGCTACAGGGGAGGCTGAGGTGGGAGGATTATTTGAGTCTGGGAGGTTGAGGTTACAGTGAGCTGTGATCATGCCACTGCACTCCAGCCTGGGTGACAGAGTGAGACCCTGTATCAAAAAAGAAGAAGAAGAAGAAGGAAAGGAGGAGGAGGGGGAGGGGAAGAGGAAGAGGAAGAAAAGAAAAGGAAAGTCTGAGATCATTCCCCCCCAAATGAACTTTTATAAGCTGATTGAACTTGACACCAGCGCCACCTGGTGATGCTAATGAGTAACTGCAAGGTAACGGTTTTCTCATCAGTACACTACGAAAAGTTACTAAACGTTTGTATATGTAAACATATATATAATTCCATCATAGGAGCCAAATGTGATTTTAGAAGCGAGGAAAATAGCGAAGATGATTTTTAAGAGATGAAGAAGGATGAGGTATGTAAACCGAAAGGCAGCAACAGTTATCAGATAAGAAAAGCATGTAAGCTAACGTCAGATGAGTCATTAGTAGAAAGTTTACATCCTTATAGTATGGACTATGTGTTTATATCCTTACATGTAGGGGTTTGCTTTAAGTTCTAGGTAATTATTCCTTCTGATTAATAAAGCGCCACCTTCTTCCGCCACTAGGTGCTGACCCAGTGAGGGTGCCTTCTGCTGCCCAGTCCCCTGGACACATTGAAGAGAGGAGCAAGTAGCCCTGTCCTGACATTGACCCTGATTTGACCCCTCTTCTTATAAGGATCTCAAGAATCTCTTCAGAAGCACTGATGACGTTGATCCCAGTAAGGACATCACCTCTACCCTTGGTACCACAACTCTGTATGGGGTTGCCCAGCTACTCTTCCTTTCAGTTGCAGTCCCAATTTTACTCCGTCAGAAAGCAGCCCTCCCCTCCCTCCCCTTATGAGGTCTCAGGCAGTGGTGGCAGATTTTTCCTGAAGAGTCTTTTTCCTGTGTCTGCCTTGTTATTGGAACCAATGCCAGCTGGTAGGATCCCTGAGCCCCTTGCGATATCACCACCAAGAGCCTGATAACTGAGCAGGGTGGATCCTGTCCCTGGAGCTGCTGCACCCATTAATTCTCCCTTGTTGCAACTCTGTGTACCAAGAACCCCTAGCATCAGCCTCATTCCTAAGCCAATAACGCCTGTATGGAGTTGGTTTCATCTTCTGGTGCCCACGGCCATTGGCATTGCCAGCCTCATTCCATGCCACTATGAGTCAACTCAGGAAAACTGCGAGTGCATTTGAGGCTTAGGGGTAGTCATTCCATCTTTAGATTATCCTTGGACTTCAGCTACCAGCACAGCATGCATTAGCCTTGGTCCTGTAGGTTAACTGAAGTTCAAACATCAGTGCCAGCTTGCCTCCATCCTTTTCACATATTATGCAGGCCAATTGACATATAATTTGTTCTTAAAAATAGGGGCATGAAATATGTGATCTGGAAAAGATTGTACTTTCTGGACTCTTTTCCCACTCTTGCCTCTTTGTGCTGCTGTTTCGTATCCTCCTCACACCGTGTATTTCCCACCCACTCAGGGTCACAGCCTACTAATTCCTCAAACTTCTCTCCCTGGACTAGGAGAAAGGCTAAAGAATGTCAGTAAATAAAAGAGCTTTCATCCAATCCCAAGGCATATATTATGCCCAAAAAAGACAAATTGTGTCTGGGGTAGAGAAAAAAGGCCTAAAGAAATTGCTTCTTGGCCTTTTGCCTAAGATCAAGTGGAGAAGACTTGTAGGAGAAAAAGAAGACCAGTGCTCACAAGTGGGGCAAGCCTGGCTTGGAGAGTAGGAGTCCTGGACAACTGTGGAGCTGGGTCAGAGGCTTCCCGGAGCCTTGTGATTATGACTTTGTCAGTGCTCTAAAATTTCCCTGGAGATTGATTCCCTGGGTGCCCAAAATAGGTCCCTGGCATTCAGGTCCTTTCTGCCCAGCTCACCTTCTCCCAATTTCCTAACAAATTTGAGTCCTTGGAGTGGCTCCAGGGATGTGTTCACGGACCAGAATCCCACATTTCCTCGGGGGCATGCTCATAGGTAGGTCCAGGCCTTGGCACAACAGTCATTTCTAGCCTCTTGAGCTTCTTTTCCTAGGGTGATATAAGAAAAGGCCAGGGAAGAACAAAAATGAGCCAGAGGTGTTGGACAAGAGGCTTGATGTAGTCCCTGGAGCTGCTGTTCTGAATCACACAGTCTTGAGGAGGAGGACCAGGGTCACTGGCTGAGCCTGTGGAGGAGGCAACCGCTACTGACTCTAAGTCTGGCAAGATCTTTCCTCCCACCCTGAGCTATGTATGGGTGCCTCTCACACAGGCAGATTTAGATTCTGTGTCACTGTCCTGGAAGAAGGGCCCAAGCCAGAACAGGGGTCCCGGGCTGAGAGGAGCCTTCAGAGTGAGAGGGCAGCACCTTTGCTGACCCACCTTTCACTGTAAGCAGTGGCACTCACCCCTGCCCTTGCTCAAGGGAGTCACCCATTCCTGAGTGAGTCAGGGTCACTCACTCCATGACAGCTGTGGCTCGCCTTACATGAGCTAAATTGGGAATTGGAATGTCATGCAGATGCCCCTTGTCTCCCAACCCCCACAGTAAAATTAATCTGCTCTCTGGGGAGTAAGGGACAAACAGTGCTACCCACAGAGTGAACAAGAGAGAGTCATTTGGGAAACAAAAGGAGAATTTTACAGAGAGAGAGGGATAGCTAAAACTACGTGAGCCTGGCGAGGGTGCAGAGCAGAAAGTAGAGACTGTCCGAAGACTGCTATCTGGGACGAGACAAGTTGTTAAAGGGACAGGAGAGAAAGCAGAGCTATTTCAAGAGTGAGCCACAGAAGGGAATCCAGAGGCCATCTAAGCGAGGAAGGGTCTACAGGCAGTGAGTGAAGGCCAGGAGCAGGGCCCAGGCCAGGCACGACCACCGAGGGGATGAACTTCACAGTGGGTTTCAAGCCGCTGCTAGGGGATGCACACAGCATGGACAACCTGGAGAAGCAGCTCATCTGCCCCATCTGCCTGGAGATGTTCTCCAAACCAGTGGTGATCCTGCCCTGCCAACACAACCTGTGCCGCAAATGTGCCAACGACGTCTTCCAGGTGGGTGCCAGGGACGGGGCAGGGCCAGGTAAAGCAATGCAGACCTGTGGGGGACTGATCAGGTCAGAGCTGAGACCCCAGAAGGTGATGGATAGAGTGCTCTCTGAGGTGGGTGGTGGCTGTTGTGGCTGGAGAGCAGAAGGGCTGGGGTCCAAGCAAATCCCAGAGCAAGCATGAGTCAGCAGCTGCCCTGCAGGCTGGCAGGTACAGCCTGTGCATAGACGGCAGCTGGAGTGCTGGGATCTACCAAGGAAAGTAGACCCTGTGGAAACTGGGAGGGAGGGTATCCCACACCGGGCTTTATAAGAGCCTGTGCCAGACTCTGCATTCCAGTTTGGAGTTTCAGACTTCGAGAGCATTGTGGAAAATACGGAGAAAAGATTAATGAGATAATGAAACGTTAAAAAACAAACAAACAAAACCCGACCCTGTGAGAAAGCTCCATAATGGCAGTAAAACTATTTGTATTTAAGGAAAGTTGAAGGCATCCATTGTGGGTGACAGAGTTAGACATAGTGGGCAGGAGACTGGGAACTCTCCCCAACTTGAGTTCATACCTGTTACCCTCCAGATTGTTCAGTAAAGAGGCCTACTGGTTAAAAGCTACTGAGGTCACTTGACAAGCAGGGAGAAGGCAAAGAAATTTACTTCTCAGAAGTCCAGCCAGTTTTGTTTTATCTGTGGTCATGGGGCCAAGCAGAGCTAATCAAATTCACAGATACTAGTATAGCCACTGGTTTAGAAATAAAAGCAGCATATACCAGAATGGATTATAAGTGGGCTTTTTTTTTTTTTCCTGTGCTACTGGGGAGGTTCTAGTAGGCTATAAAATGGAACAGAGATCAGGGAGAGTGAGGGGCAAAGGCACACACACACACACGCGCGCACACACACACACACACACACACACACACACACACACGGCCTTGCCGTTAAGTAAAAGCCCTGAATATGGCCAGGTGCAGTGGCTCACGCCTGTAATCCCAACACTTTGGGAAGCTGAGGCCAGCAGATCACGAGGTCAGGAGTTCAAGACCAGCTTGGCCAATATGGTAAAACCCCATCTCTACCAAAAATACAAAAATTAGCCGGGCGTGGTTGCAGGCGCCTGTAGTCCCAGCTACTCAGGAGGCTGAGGCAGGAGAATCACTTGAACCCAGGAGGTGGAGGTTGCCTTGAGCCGAGATCATGCCACTGCACTCTGACCTGGGCGACAGAGCAAGACTCCATCTCAAAAAAACAAAAACAAAAACAAACCCCGAATAGACCAGAGCTGGCTGGTTTAGTATGTGTGTCAGTGACATGGAACATCCCAAACAAGTATTCTTCATCTGTGTCAGAAATGATGAGGAAATGTGTTAAACACAAGTGATTTTTAACCTAACCAAGAAAATACTTCCCTTTTTAAGTTCCTTGGGGCAGCTTGTTTTGGAAAGGAATGGGCTGGCTAGGTCAGGCCATCCCACAATGTACCCTGTGACCCACACCTTGTGTGTCTGCTCTGTGCCACCTTCACTGAAGACCAGCACTCTGTGGTCTCTCCTGCCATCTTCCCATTGAGACCCATTCCCTCTCCTATTCTTTATGTGTCCAAACCTGCCATTATTCAGCTCCAGAGTATCTCAGAGCCAGTAGATTTTCCCTCTCGGGGGGCCTAGACCAAATGCTGTGCCTCCTCGTCCTGGGCATGAAGTCCTACATGAGAGGCAATGCTTTGCCCACCATCTTGGTTTTTCCTTGGTCTAAGTAACTCTGAACATCCTTCAGGCTGAGATGCCTAGGAGGGAAATGGCAGAAAGATTTTGCCATCCTTTCTCATGAACTTACAGTGAAACATCCTCACACTGGAACTTGAAATGTGTGAAAGCAAAGAGAAGTTTTGAAAGCTAAGGTGATGTGTCCTGTAGAAAAGTGGTCAGAAGGGCCAAGTGCATTCCTGGGTCCCTCTGTCATCTGGCAGAGGAATAGGCCCCATACATGGAGGCTAGAATGTGTTTAAGTGACCTGCTTATTTAAGTCAACTCTCTCTATCCAAGCACACTGTTTCAGTTCCAGAAAGCTCTAGAATACGGATCTGGGCTCAGAGAGACCTTGGAATGGCTTGGGGCAAATCCTGTACAGAATATTTGGAGATAACATGATACCCAGGGCTTTGGGGTGGCTCTGTGGATCTGGAGTGGTGTATCTTTTGAGGTGCAAAGCACCCTTGGGCCCTCCAAGGAGGAAGAGTGAACAGCTCATCCCTTGCTGCTTATTTGGGAGGGCCTGGTGGGAGGCTGACCCAGTTCTTCAGCTGCACTTAGATCTGTGTATCTCAATATATCTCAGTAGATCTCCCTCTGAAAGATGAGCATATTTAGTTTTTTCGCACATTGCCTCCACATTTTGACAACTGTAGGCATAATCAGATTGTCTGTTTTCTAAGTATGGGGCAAGAATAGGACTTTTGGAAAGAATAGGACTTTTCCTCTACCTTCAAACCACTTAGGAAGAATACCCTTAGAGCATTGCCTAGAAAGTTAACGGTTATCAAAGTGATACCAGTATATCACTTAGAATTTGTAACATGTAAACATACTGTTTTCAAGCAGTATAGGAGTTCATATCATGAAAAGCAAATCTGCTATTCACCTCAGACCCTCAGTTGTCTCACCAGATAGAAGTAACTATTACCAACTTTCTTGGGAATACTTCCAGAAAATTTCCACAAATCGGCACATTTGCATGTATATGTGTTCTCAGGCGAGACCCATCGCCCCCCACCTGCCTTTGTTCACTTACTCGCTGTGGGTGATTGTTCCATATCCACCATTCAGATTTATGTCTTCGTTTTTAAATAGCTGTGTAGTTTTCATTGTTATGACTGGACCACAGTCTATTTAAATAATCTGTCCTCTAAAACATTTAGATGGTTTTCTGTGTTTTGTTGTCCTAAAAACTGCCGTGATGGACAACAAACAAGAGTTTTTGGGAATTGTGATTTTATAAGACCAAGTTAACTAGACAGCCAGGAAGCAAAATTTGAAAACAATTTATTTAAAAATACTGGCTACGTAAGGTGGCTCATGCCTGTAATCCCAACACTTTGGGAGGCTGAGACAGGAGGATCACTTGAGCCCAGGAATTTAAGACCAGCCTGGGCAACATAGTGAGACCTCATCTCTACAAAAAAGAAAATACTGTTAGTTGAACAGTATTAAGGGGTTGGGAGGAAATCATCCATAATCTTACCTCCCCAACACAGTTATTTTTATTTTTGCATATTATTTTTTTTTTTTTGAGATGGTGTCACATTATGTTACCCAGACTGATCTTGAACTCCTGGGCTCAAGTTATCTTCCTGCCTCAGCCTCTGGAGTGCACACCACCAAGCCCAGCAATTTTTGCATATTACATTCAAGCCCATGTCCGCAAACATTTTTACATAGTGGCCATCTTAATGTAATTCTTTTTAGAGCTGTAACAACTCTTTCTCTCTGAATTGAAACAGAATGAAACACCAAGACACCACATTAACCCCCTCTAATTTCTTCCTCCTTCTTTCCCCACACTTGCACCCACTCAGCTACCAAGAACTTCCACTAAAGGAAAGCTGTTGGTGTGGGAATTTGACACAAACATCTTCCCATGTGTTTCTGTATTTGTAAATTCTATTCACTCCTAAACGGCTTTAAAGCAAGCCTTCAGTTTATTTTTATACCTGCCTCCACTTCACTGTGGGCACTTGTTTTTGAGCCTGCAACCTGTTGTAATTTAACAGACAACCAAAAGGCCTTGTAAGAAGGTTGTTCTGGAACAGCTTTTCTGGAGGAGGTCTGTCTACAGAGGGACTTGCAGAGGGGGGATTGTCAAGAAAGAAGCCTCCTTCTCTAACAAGGGGCAGTCTGAGAGAGATGACTTTTGTTTCGCGCCACCCAAATTCCATTTCTTTATCCTTTAGTTGTTAGGACCAGGTGTCATCAGGTACAGGCCTGCCAGAGAAGATCCTACCCAGCCTGCCTCCTCAACCACTTCTACCCATTCTGAAGGCACCAGGATTTCTTCAGTCCAACTTTGGGCAGGTCTCCCTGATGCAAAATTGGTTCACTAAAATTTTGTGAATTGCATTAAATTTGTAGCAGGGTTAGGGCTCTTACTTCTGTAGGGAAGATCTTGATTTAGTGAGAACGAAAACCTAGACTAAGGCTTAGCACTCCTGGATTCTCCTCTGACGGGTTTCTTTGTTAATTTGCCACACAATGCATATCAGGCTATTTCACCACTTCAAGCCTGTTTACATAACTATAAATGAAAAGGGTGTTTTCTTTCTTTCTTTATTTTTGAGACAGGGTCTCATTCTATCACCCAGGTTAAGTGCAGTGGCATGATGATGGCTCACTGCAGCCTCGACTTCCCAGCCTCTAGCCATCCCTCCTACCTCAGCCCCCTGAGTAGCTGGGACCACAGGTGTGCACCACTATGCCTGGCTAATTTTTTTGTAATTTTTTGTAGAGACAAGGGTCTCTCTATGTTGCCCAGGTTGTTCTCCAACTCCTGGACTCAAAGGATCCTCCCACCTCAGCCTCCCAAAATGCCAGGATTACAGGCATGAGCCACTGTTCCTGACCGAAAAGGGTGTTTTAAACTGATTTTTTTTTTCCCAGAGACAGGGTCTCACTCTGTCACCCAGGCTGGAGTGCAGTGGCACGATCATAGTCCACTGTAACCTTGAACTCCTGGGCTCAAACAGTCCTTCTGCCTCAGCCTTTCGTGTAGCTAGGATTACAGGCATGTACCACCACACTCAGCTAATTAAAAAAAAAATGTTTTTGTACAGACAAAGTCTTACTATGTTGCCCAAGCTGGTCTCAAACTCCTGGCCTCAAGCGATCCTCTCAGTTCAGCCTCCAAAAGCTCTGGGGTTATAGGCGTGAGCCACTGCACCTGGCCTTAAACTGACCTTTAACATCTCTTGCAATTCTAACGATTTGGTTTCACAAAGTCGAAAAATATTTTTGTGGATTTCCATTTTTTGAGGGCTTTCCATTCTGTGACCAGTGTCCTAATTTGGCCCACTCTTCTGCTTATCACTCCTCCTTTCAAGCAGTAGGGCTTGGTTTACCAGCCCCTTGGGCCAAGCTCTTCCCTAGGTTCTACCGCCCATAGCTAGCCCTCTGTTTACAGTCCCTCTTATACCTGCAGCTCAGCTTTTACCAAAACCTGGATTCTTCTCAGGCGCTTCAGCTTTTCTCCAAATGTCTGGTCTTCTGCCCACCGTTTTCCCAAGGTTTTTCCAGCATATTCTGAGTGTCTGGCTCACAGAACTTGGATGGTCCATCATTCATCACTGGCCAGGCCTTCAGGTTGAGGGAAATAGCCTCCAAAAAGCCCCATTGCATCCAGAGCCTGTGTCCCAAATTAGCACCTCTCTGGATAGCCAGGGAAGAGGGAAAACATTCTGACATAAGTATGGATTTGCTAGACTAGCTGCATTTACAGAGCATCTTTCTAGATGGAACATTTCTATTAGATGCTATGGAACATTACAAAGGAAATAGAAGGCACCGTAAAGCCTAAAAGAGAGAGAGCTCATGGCATATATTCCACACAACAGCCTTGAACATAGCCTAGAATTAAATTCCATTTATTTGTTCCATTCCATCTTATCCTTCACAGTGGAGAAAGAACAGTCATTTCGTACCCTGTGGTTCTGTGTGGTCATTTCTTTTTAAGGTCTAGATTAGGATTGTTAACAGTCCTCTGTGTTTGTGCAGTGCCTTATAATTTATAGAATACATTCACAAACATGATTCCATTTGAGTTAGATCGAATGGATGTTATCTCCGTTTTACAGAAGAGAACATAGGAAACAGGTCACAGTCACACAAACAAAGGGACAGACTAAGGACATAAATCTAGGTGTTCTGTTATGTTTCCTAGAGTGATGGAATTTCCTCTACACATCACATCATTGGCACGTGAAATTTTACTTTATGGGGCTGGCTTCCTTGCATAAATGTAAGATTTAAGGAAAGAACAGGACATTTATGTGTATAATAGAACCAATCAGTTATCTCTTAGTCTTGAAATGGAAAGATAAACAGAAGCAGAAGATAGGATTTTTCTAACTGGATATTAGTCAGCTGAAAGATCTTTAGCCTAATGTAGAGACTGTCAGCTATGAAGATGTATTAAGGAAGTTGTCATGTATCCCTTAGAGTATAAAATCGTTATTTGTGATGAGAAAATTGAGGGACTTAAAATCAGGGTAGGGAGTAATTTTTTGTGTGTGCCGTGGACCAATGTCAGTGTGTGAAACCTGTGGATCCTTTCTAATAACAATATTTCTAAATGCATGCAATATAATACATATGGTTATAAAGGAAACTGATGGCATTAGAATACAGCATGTATTCTTAATGGGAGTGATATTGCTCTCAAGGGGAAAAAATTAATTCTTGGAAGGGGGCTCTTGTTGCCAAGGCTGGAGTGCAATGGCGTGATCTCAGCTCACCACAACCTCTGCCTCCCGGGTTCAAGCAATTCTCCTGCCTCAGCCTCCCAAGTCGCTGGGATTACAGACACATGCCACCACACCTGGCTAATTTTGTATTTTTAGTAGAGACAGGGTTTCTCCATGTTGGTCAGGCTGGTCTCAAAACTCCTGACCTCTGGTGATCTGCCCGCCTCGGCCTCCCAGAGTGCTGGGATTACAGGCATGAGCCACTGCACATGGCCAGATTTTACTCTTTTTATGTGTAAAGGATAGATAAGCATGCGGTACATAAACAGATACATCTATGATATTAATATTTAATGAGGGGGATGGGAGCTATTGGGGGAAATGTCTAAAAAGGATCCTGAGCAGTGGCACACACCTGCAGTCTCAGGTACTCAGGAGGCTGAAGCAGGAGGATCGCTTGAGCCTAGGAGTTTGAGGCCAGCCTGAGCAACATAGTGAGACACTATCTCTCTCTTTCTCTTTTTTTTTTTTTTTTTTTTTTTTTTTTTGAGACAGAGTCTCGCTCAGTAGCCCAGGCTGGAGTGCGGTGGCTTGATTTCGGCTCACTGCAACCTCCACCTCCCAGGTTCAAGTGATTCTCATGCCTCAGCTTCCCGAGTAGCTGGGATTACAGGTGCAAGCTACCAT
Organism: Homo sapiens; assembly: GCF_000001405.40. Classification (NCBI taxonomy): domain Eukaryota; kingdom Metazoa; phylum Chordata; class Mammalia; order Primates; family Hominidae; genus Homo; species Homo sapiens. The sequence goes on from NC_000002.12 coordinate 27,290,029, forward strand.
GCCTGGCTAATTTTTGTATTTTTAGTAGAGACAGGGTCTCATCATGTTGGCCAGGCTGGTCTCAAACTCCTGACCTCAAGTGATCCACCCACCTCGGCCTTCCAAAGTTCTAGAATTACAGGTGTGAGCCACCGTGCTATCTTTTTAAGAGACACTATCTCTTAAAAAAAATTTTTTTAATTAAAAAGTCTCCCAGAGGGGACAATAATGAAGAAAGCTTTGGAAACACTGGAATATAATCACCAAAATATTTAAAGCACATTTGATGGAGTAATACATGTGCTTCTTAACTAACACATTAAAGAATGAGGTCTAGCAGTGAGTCTGAACTGCTGTAATTTAGAAGTAGTGATAAGCAGCCGGGCCCAGTGGCTCATGCCTGTAATCCCAGCACTATGGGAGGGAGAGGCGGGCAGATCACGAGGTCAGGAGATGGAGACCATCCTGGCTAACACGGTGAAACCCCGTCTCTACTAAAAATCAAAAAATTAGCCGGGCATGGTGGCGGGCGCCTAGCTGAGGCAAGAGAATCGCTTGAACCCAGGAGGTAGAAGTTGCAGTGAGCCGAGATTGTGCCACTGCATCCTAGCCTGGGTGACAGAGCAAGACTCCATCTAAAAATAAATAAATAAATAAAGAAGTAATGATAAGCATACATTATTTTTTGAAATTTTAGCAACAACTGTAATGCGATATGAAAACAGCTGTGATTTCCGTTGGTGACAAAGTCACGGGCTGCTAAAACTGCTGTGGTTTTGTGCTGCTTCCCCTATATTGTGCTCCATTAAATGCTTCTGTTAAAAACCAGAGATGTTACCTATAAGGGGCAACAATTTGACCCATATAGCCAGTATAGAAGACTTTCTCAAAGTAGCCACTCAACATTTGCAAAAGGTTTGGAACACAAGTCAGACAAATTTTGGTAGAGAAAGTCAGGAAATGGTTAGCAAATTTCATTCTTATTTCACCTTCCTGATTTTTGCCATAGCTGTGTACTACCTGTACTATAATTTAATAGTTCTATTTTAAAACACTCACTTTTAGGCTAGGTGCACTGGCTCACACCTATAATCCCAGAACTTTGGGAGGCCAAGGTAGGCAGATCACTTGAGTTCAGGAGTTTGAGAGCAGCCTGGCCAACATGGTGAAACCCTGTCTCTACTAAAATATAAAGAAATTAGCTGGGCATGGTGGTGAACGCCTATAGTCCCAGCTACTCAGGAGGCTGAGGCTGGAGAATCACTTGAGCCCGGGAAGCAGAGGTTGCAGTGAGCCGAGATCGTGCCACTGCATTCTAGCCTGGGCTACAGGAGTGAAACCCTGTCGCAAAACAAAAACAAACAAACAAAAAATGACTTTTAAACCTTAAATATTTACTTTATCCTTATTCTATACAATGTAATCCATGAAAAATTGTCAGTTTTTTGTGGACTGTTTTTTTCCTAATATGCATTAGAATTAACACATAAAAAATCTTGAACATCCATCCCCATACCACCTCCAATCTTCATGCTTGTCATCAGTATTATACCATATTTTGGGAAACACAATGAGGGCGTCTAAGCAATATGAGCCAGAGGCCCTGGAAAGTCTGAAGGATAAATTTTACTATTTTATTACAAGTCAAATGTAGTCTTAATGCCAAAAAGCACATGTATGTAAATATTGGCCAGAAAGACTAGCAAAGGAAGTGGGGTTAGGATTTGGCTGGGGGCTAGCATTGCTGAAGCAATCACAGAAGGGAAGGGCTGCCCTGGAGATTAAGATGAAAGCCAGCCAGGCCCGACGGAGATATGGCAGGAGAAATTGGACTTGTGAATCAGGAGGGGACTCTGGGACTGGGGGATGAAAGCTACACGCAAAATACGGGACTGTGGTGTCAGCAGCAGGGAGCAGCACCAGCCCTGAGCAAGACGGTGGGAAAGCAGAGGTGCAGCCTCTCCCCACCGCCCTGCACCCTGAGCTCACACACTCCCGATTTCTCTCTCCCAAGACAGGAACTTTTCAAAGGACTTGGGTTGGACTGCCTGAGTACTGATGCCTCTTAGCCTTCTGGGCTCCAGAATAAATGCAATGACTAACCAATGCGATGAGCTGCTAAAGAAATTGCTTTGGCAGGTGGGAGGGTGTTGAAGAGGTGGTGTTAGTGTGCCTCCCTCAGGTCAAGTCCTGAAGTCAGTTCTGGCTGTGGGGAGTTTGAAGGAAGACATTGGCCAAGATAGCCCAAGTCCTGATTACTTTTTTCTTTCTAAAAATTGTAAGCTTGGCATGGGGTCTCACCCCTGAAATTCCAGCACTTTGGGAGGCTGAGGTAGGAGGATCGCTTGAGGCCAGGAGTTTGACATCAGCCTGGGCAACTAGCAAGACCCTATCTCTGCAGAAACTTTTTTTAAAAATTAGCTGGGCATGGTGGCACACCTGCAGTCCCAGCCACTTGGGAGGCTGAGGTGAGAGGATCCCTCGATCCCAGGAAGTTGAGACGACAGAGAGAGAGATCTTGTCTCAAAAAATTTTTTTTAATTTTTGTAAAATGCACATAACATGAAATGTACCACCTTAACCTTTTAAATGTACAGTTCAATGGCATTACATACATTTACATTGTTGTGAAACTGTCACCACTATCCATCCCCAGAACTTTATCACCACCCCAAACTGAAACCCCACACCCCTTAAACAATACCTCCCTACTCCCCCTCCTTCCAGCAACTGGCAACCACCATCCATCCTATGCCAGGTACCTCATTTAAGAGGAATCATACAATATTTGTCCTTTTGTGTCTGGCTTATTTTGCTTAGCATAATGTCTTCAAGGTTTATCCATGTTACAGACTGCAGACCTGGTTACTTTTAGCTGATAATTTCTATTGCAATCTATGTGACTTTTATCAGCATCATCCATTCTCCTGTCAAATGTGGATTTTTTTTCTGTGTTGATATTTACTTGATTTCTTTCCTTAATTCTGCCAGCTCTCTTTTCTTCTCCAGTTTTGATCACTTATATCTCTTTGTTTTTGTTATTTCTTTTAAAATGGTATATCGAAATGGTATTGATTCTTGGAGTATCTGTCCCTTGTTTGTCAAGCTTTCTTTTTTCTTTTCTTTTTGTATTATCTGGTTTGCATCTTTTGTTGGATTCTGTCTGCTTATCACTCCCCTTTTATCAGGGTACTTTTATCTGGAGCTGAAGGTGAATTCCTGACTCAACCCACTGTGTTTATCTTGGCTTTCTTTCACTGTCCTCTTAAATATAAGCTGCCTGGTTGGATGTTGTCATTGGTTTTGCAATCTCTCTTTAGTTCTGTGCCTTCTTTGGTGAATAGAGGGGTATGACCTGAATTAATAGGTAGTTGAGTGTCTCAATTTGGTTGTGTTGTCTTGGAGTATTTTTCACGCAGAATCCGGTGATTTATCTACCATAGAGGCCCACACAGGTCCATGGGAGGAGGTCTCCCCTGAGATTTGAGCTATTTCCTCTCCATTTCACAGACAAACAGGTCATTCTGGTTGAAAGCAGGGCCCTTATAGAGCTCCATGGCACACAGGGTTTTAATTTGATGAGTCATCTTTTGTTGATCTTTGCTTAAATAGCTTTAGTCCACAGTTGCATAGTTGATTTTCAGGCTGTAGTTTCTTTCCTCTGTGAAGGTTTGAGGTTTGTTCCTTCATTACCCTTTTACTTTTTTTACTTAAAAAACAAAAACAAAAAACGGCCAGGTGAGGTGGCTCACACCTGTAATCCCAGCACTTTGGGAGGCCGAGGTGGGTGGATCACCTGAGGTCAGGAGTTCAAGACCAGCCTGGCCAACATGGGGAAACCCCATCTCTACTAAAAATGCAAAAAATTAGCCGGGCATGGTGGCACGTGCCTGTACTCCCAGCTACTCAGGAGGCTGAGGCAGGAGAATCGCTTGAACCCGGGAGGTGGAGGTGGCAGTGAGCCAAGATCCTGCCACTGCACTCCAGCCCGACGACAGAGTGAGACTCTGTCTCAAAAACAACAACAACAATAATAACAACAACAACAACAGTAAAAGAAACTGCCTCTGCCTGAGACTCAGAGAAATGAATATTAGCTCTAAGGGTTTTTTTGTTTTGTTTTTTGTTTGTTTTGTTTTTGAGACAGGTCTCCCTCTGTCACCCATGCTGTAGTGCAGTGGCATGATCACAGCTCACTGCAGCCTTGACTTCCTGGGCTCAAGTGATCCTCCCACCTCAGCCTCCCAAATACCTGGGACTAAAGGCATGAGCCATCTTGCTTTTTCTTCTTTTTGTAGAGACGTGGTTTCACTGTACTGCCCAGGCTGGTCTTGAACTCCTGCACTCAAGCCATCCTGCTGCCTTGACCTCCCAAAGTGTTGGGATTACAGTCATGAGCCACCGTGCACAGCCTGGCCTAAGTTTTATTGTGTCTGACAATGGAACACAATGATTATTAGGACAGGCTCTGGAGTCAGAGTGCCTAAGTTCCAGTACTGGCTTTGCCACCTATTAGCTCATGACCGTGTACAATTTATTTAATTTCACTGAGACACAATTTCCTCATCCTTGAAATGGGGCTAAGACTATTACCTACTTCAGGGCCAGGCATGGTGGCTCACGCCTGTAATCCCAGCACTTTGGGAGGCTGAGGTGGGCGGATCATGAGGTCAGGAGATTGAGACCATCTGGCCAACATGGTGAAACCCTGTCTCTACTAAAATACAAAAAAATTAGCCGGACATAGTGGCAGGCGCCTGTAGTCCCAGCTGCTTGGGAGGCTGAGGCAGGGGAATCGCTTGAACCCAGGAGATGGAGGTTGCAGTGAGCTGAGATTGCACCACTGCACTCCGGCCTGGGCGACAGAGCAAGACTCCATCTCAAAAAAAAAAAAAAAAAAAAAGAGTATTACCTACTTCAGGGTTGATATGAGGATTAAGTGAATTAATACAAATGAAAGACTTAGAGCAAATCCTGGCTCAGTAGATGTTAGCCATTATTATTCTATTTCTTGTAGACTAAGTTAGGAGTGATTGTTCACCTCCTCGACCATCTTTTTTTGTTTGTTTGTTTTTTGAGACAGAGTCCTGCTCTGTCGCCCAGGTTGGAGTGCAATGGCGCAATCTCGGCTCATTGCAACCTCGGCCTCCTGGGTTCGACTCCAGGGTTTGAGTGATTCTTGTGCCTCAGCCTCCCGAGTAGCTGGGATCCTCAACCATCTTTACAAGAAGTTCTTGAGGAATAAATACAACAATGTCTGGAAAACCCATGACACGATGCTTGACACATGATAAGCCCTCAAAACATATTTTTTTTGAGACGGAGTTTCACTCTTGTCTCCCAGGCTGGAGTGCAATGGTATGATCTTGGCTCACTGCAGCCTCCACCTCCCGGGTTCAAGCAATTCTCTTGCCTCAGCCTCCCAAAGTATCTGGGATAACAGGCGCCTGCCACCGCACCCAGCTAATTTTTGTATTTTTAGTAGAGACGGGATTTCACCGTGTTGGCCAGGCTGGTCTCGAACTCTTGACCTCATGATCCACCCACCTCGGCCTCCCAAAGTGCTGGGATTACGGGCATGAGCCAGCGCGCCTGGTCTCAAAACATTTGTTGAATGTTAAGTAATGAGTATCCCTGCCTTTGTGGCTCAGGAAGAGGAAGGGTGCAGTGAGGGATGGAGGTTGGGGAGAGCGGCTGCCCAAGAGTTTATCTTTGCTGTGGGATATAGGTCCCCCTTCCTCCCATTCAAATATCTCTATATGCTTGCCATCAGCAAATCAAAGATAAGAAAGACAGGAGACTGCAGCCTTAGAGTTCTCCCAACACCTCTTTCCTCACTTGGGTTCTAAATATTGAAAAGTAATTGTATTAAGCAAACAAAAGGCAAGTGATTATACACTTTAACGCATTCCCTAAACTAAACTCAACAATATTCATACATTTCTAGCTACTGAGAAGGCAGATGTACAAACATGCCTTGAATTATCTCAAACTAATCTGCCCCAGGTTTATGATGGGCTTAAAGGTTAACATGATTCTCAAGAAATCCCAAGAAAGATGTGATATTTATGGCACACACCAGTTACTCTCCCCAAGATAAGCTGCTCACTTCACAGTGGGTCCACGTTTCCTGCCTTGCCTACAGCCCTTGCTACCAAAGGATCAAACAAGACCCTTGACTTGGCTGCACTCTGTGCATGATGGGGTGTTGCTGCACACACGCAAGGGGCCTTCCAAACTGTCTTCTGGTTTGTGTATGGTGTAAGGGTTTGGAGAAGTTCATGCATCCCAGTTGTAGGAAGTGCATCTCACTATGCTAGCTCATAGGTGACCACTGTCTCCATTACTCTCTAGGAATGCATAATCTTCCAGCCAGTTGGGATTAGGTTCTGTTCTAAGTGGCAGAAACCCCAGAATAACAGTGGCTTAAAGAGGGTAAAAATTTGCTTTATTCTCAAGTGAAAGTATGGGTGGACAGTGCAGGACTGCCTCATCAGAGACCTCCTTTCATCTCGTTACCATTCTCAACATGTGGCTGCCACTTCATGGCTCAAGACGGCTGCTTCAACTTGAGCCATCCCGTCTTCTTTCCAGCCAGCAGGCAGGAGAAAAGGGGAGGAGCAGGGCATGCCCCTCCCATGAAAGACGGTTTGTGCAATTTCCTACAAATTACACAAAACATTTGCATCTACATCCCAGAGCACAGCCAATTGGCCACACCCAGCTGGAAGGGAGGCTTAGATTCATGGGTTTTTTGGTTTGTTTTTTTGAGATGGAGTTTCCCTCTGTTGCCCAGGCTGGAGTGCAGTGGTACTATCTCAGCTCACTGCAGCCTCTGTCTCCTGGTTTCAAGCAATTCTCCTGCCTCAGCCTCCCAAGTGGCTGGGACTACAGGTGTGCACCACCGTGCCCAGCTAATTTTTTTATTTTTAGTAGAGATGAGTTCTTGCTATGTTGCCCAGGCTGGTCTCAAACTCCTGAGCTCAAGTGATCTGCCCACCTCGGCCTCCCAAAGTGCTGGGATTACAGGCATGAGCCACCACACCCAGCCCTTTATACCATGTGTCTTGTTAAAACTCAGGGCACTTATTATTAAAGAAGAAAAGGTGGTGAACGTCAGGGTACAATAAGCAGTGTCTGCCAGTCTTTCATCTCTGCATCTCCCCACACATAGACTCTTTTCTCTGTAGACCAGCCTTCTCTGTTCAGTTTCTGACCCCTTACACTTTCCAGGGTGGCCGTGATGTCAGCTCTTAGCCCAATTCCACAGGTCTATTCAATTCCTAAGCAGAACATGGCGTAGCCAGCTAAGCCCCTGAGTCTCAAGTCCAAATTCTTAGGAGAGAATATTTGATTGGTTCTGCTTGGGTCAGGTGATCACCTCCTTAGCTCTGAATCAATCATCTGTGGCAGGGATCTCCCTTCTAGGATAGGATGGAGCAACTACTCTAGGCAAGAGATGTAAGCCGGAGGAAGTGATGGGTGTCTGTTAAGTCCTCCTTCTGAGCCTACCCCTATCACAACACCCATCCTGCTGGATGCAGTTGTCAGGTGCTTGTCCTTAGGACAGGATGCATTTTCTTTGTATCTTTAACTCAGAGTCCAGCAACTACCTGGCACACTATAAATGAATAATTTTATCCTCAGCTTTACAGAGGTTGAATACCTGCCTAAATTTATATACTTAAGAGGTTGGGCATGGTGGCTTACGCCTATAATCCCAGCAATTTGGGAGGCCGAGGTGGGAGGGTCACTTGAGGTCAGGAGTTTAAGACCAGCCTGGGCAACATAGTGATACTTCATCTCTACTAAAAATAAAAAAAATTATCTGGGCATGGTGGCACACACCTCTAGTCCCAGCTACTCAGAAGACTGAGATGGGAGGATTGCTTGAGCCCAGGAGGTCGAGGCTGCGGTGAGCTGTGATCCCACTACTGCACTCCAGCCTGGGCATCAGAGAAAGAACCTGTCTCAAAAAAAAAAAAAAAAAAAAAGGCCGGGGGGAGGGCATCAGAGATAGCACAAGAACCCAGGACTCCTGACTTCCAGTTCCTGGAGCAATTTTCTAGAATTACCTGGCTAGTTACAGTTTGTGAACCCCATTGTTGAGCACTTGTATCTGCTTGTACCCCTGCCCAGGACTGCAGAGAATCTCCTCCAGTTGTGGCCCAAGAGGGCCCCAGACTGGAAGACATTGGTCGCACCACTCAGAGTTCATTTCCTGCCTCAGCCTTATTGCCAAGACCAATGTCTCCCCATGGCTCCAAGCTGGACCCCTTTGGAGAGATCCCATCCTGACTATGCCTTGACCAAAGCTGAGTTCTGGATGCAGGGGCACTCTAGGAGGTGGGCTGAATAATGAGGCAAAGGTGGGAAGCAGGGTCTCCATGGCCGTCCACCGTGCGCTGCTCTCAGAGGTGGATCCAGCCACAGAGAAGAGCTGACATCTTCCCCTCCATCAAGTTCCTACTCCCTAGCCCCCAAGCCCTTTCCCCCTGCCTCCTCCGAGTCCCTTCATGCCTCCCCGTGCCTGTTCTCTCAAGCCATCTGTCCCTGCAGGCCTCGAATCCTCTATGGCAGTCCCGGGGCTCCACCACTGTGTCTTCAGGAGGCCGTTTCCGCTGCCCATCGTGCAGGCATGAGGTTGTCCTGGACAGACACGGTGTCTACGGCCTGCAGCGAAACCTGCTAGTGGAGAACATTATCGACATTTACAAGCAGGAGTCATCCAGGTGAGCCACCAGAGTCTCTTGCCTCTCTCATGACAGGGCTTGGGACACAGCCAAGGAACCCATCAGAGCCAAAAGGGAGAGATTGAAACGGTCAACCTGCCTGTTCTGTCTAGAGACCATAGGACTGGATCCGGAGAGGGACTTGCCTCAGGCCTCCCAGAGAGGGCAGTCTCTGATTCCCTAGCCAGTACTTCACTCCTACCCTCTCCTCCTGGGAGAGGCTGGCAGTCCACCAGCAAGATCCTCGCTAACCCTCCAAGACTTCCTGTCCTGTGGGACTTCCCTGCCCCCTTGTAATACAGACTGTTCTCGGATCCAGGCCTCCTCTATCTCTTAGCTCCTTCTGTTCCCCAAATTCAGAGCTCTGTGGAAGTACTCACCAGTTCAGCCACAGCACTAGCTGCAGGGGCGGAGAAGGTGGTGGCAGTTGGTGGAGGCTGAAGAGAAGGTATTCCTAGGACCCTTCATGCTTAAGGTCCACCTCCCCCTGCCCACTCCTCTCTAGGCCGCTGCACTCCAAGGCTGAGCAGCACCTCATGTGCGAGGAGCATGAAGAAGAGAAGATCAATATTTACTGCCTGAGCTGTGAGGTGCCCACCTGCTCTCTCTGCAAGGTCTTCGGTGCCCACAAGGACTGTGAGGTGGCCCCACTGCCCACCATTTACAAACGCCAGAAGGTATCAAACAGGGGAGGGAGTAGATATGTGAGAGATGGGGGCTTAGGACAGGGTCTCAGTGTCAGCCTCTTACTCCACTTATCTTTTGTTTACTTATTTCTTTATTTATTTAGAAACAGGATCTCACTCTGTTGCCCAGGCTGGAGTGCAGTGGCACAAACACAACTTACTGCAGCCTTGATCTCCCGAGCTCAAGTGATCCTCCCATCTTAGCCTCGCAGAACACTAAGATTATAGATGTGAGCCACCGCACTCAGCCCTATCTATCTATCTATCTATCTATCTATCTATCTATCTATCATATTTTGAGATGGAGTCTCGCTCTGTCGCCCAGGCTGGAGTGCAGTGGTGCAGTCTTGGCTCACAGCAACCTCAGCCTCCCGGGTTCAAGCTGTTCTTATGCCTCAGCCTTCCAAGTACCTGGGATTACAGGCATGTGCCACCACACCCAGCTTTTTTGTTTTTTGGTTTTTTTTTGACTCCTGGCCTCATGTGATCCGTCCACCTTGGCCTCCCAGAGTGCTGGAATTACAGGTGTGAGCCACTGCGCCCAGCTCCATTTATTTATTTTTTAAGAGATGTGGGGATCTCTGTCGCGCAGGCTGGAATGCACTGGTATGATTGTGATTCACTGCAGCAGCCTTGAACTCCTGGGCTCAAGTGATCCCTACCACCTCAATCTCCCAAGTAGCTGGAACTACAGGCATGTGCCACCATGACCAGCTAATTATTTTATTTTATTTATTTATTTATTTGTTTATTTATTTATTTTGAGATGGAGTTTTGCTCTTGTTGCCCAGGCTGGAGTGCAATGGCACGATCTCGGCTCACTGTAACCTCTGCCTCGCAGGTTCAAGCAATTCTCCTGCCTCAGCCTCCAGAGTAGCTGGGATTATAGGCGCCTACCACCATGTCCAGCTAATTTTTTGTATTTTTAGTAGAGACGGGGCTTCACCATGTTGGCCAGGCTGGTCTGGAACTCCTGACCTCAGGTGATCCACCCACCTTGGCCTCCCAAATGCTGGGATTACAGGCGTGAGCCCCTGCGCCCGAACCTAATTTTTTATTTTTACATAGAGACAGGGTCTCAGGCAGGGCACAGTGACTCACACTTGTAATCCTTTGGGAGGATACTACTAATAATAATATTTATTAGTAGTAGTAGTACTAATAATAATATTTATTAGTAGTAGTAGTACTAATAATACTTTAGAAGAGCGAGGCAGGGGGATTGTTTGAGTCCAGGAATTTGAGACCAGCCTGAGCTGTGTAACATAGTGAGACCCTTGTCTCTACAAAAAATTAGCTGGGCATGGTGGCATGCCTGTAGTCCCAGCTACTCGGGAGGCTGAGGTGGGAGGATCACTTGAGCCCGGGAGGTTGAGGCTGCAGTGAGCCATGATTGCACCACGGCACTCCAGCCTGGGTGATAGAGTGAGACCTTGTCTCAAAAACAAACATACAATATTAAAAAGAGACAAGATCTCACTGTGTTGCCCAGGCTTGTTTTGAATTCCTGGGCTCAAGCCATCCTCCTGCCTCTGTTAGAGGAAAGAGGTCTTGACACAGACCCCAAGACAGGGTTATTGGATCTCGCGCAAGAAAGAATTCAGGGCTAGTCCATAGAGTAAAGTGAAAGCAAGTTTATTAGGAAAGTAAAGGAATAAGACAATGGCCACTCCATAGACAGAGCAGCCCCTAGGGCTGCTGGTTGCCCTCTTTTTTTTTTTTTTTTTTTTTTAGATGGAGTTTCGCTCTTGTCGCCCAGGCTGGAATGCAATGGCGCGATCTCAGCTCACTACAACCTCCGCCTCCCAGATTCAAGCGATTCTCCTGCCACAGCCTCCCAAGTATCTGGGATTACAGGCATCCGCCACCATGACTGGCTAATTTTTGTATTTTTAATAGAGACAGGGTTTCACCATGTTGGCCAGGCTGGTCTCAAACTCCTGAACTCAGGTGATCCACTCTCCTTGGCCTCCCAAAGTGCTGGGATTATAGGTGTGAGCTACCGGGTCCAGCCTGGTTGCCCATTTTTGTGGTTATTTCTTGATGATATGCTAAACAAGAGGTAGATTATTCATGCCTTCCCTTTTTAGAACATATACGGTCACTTGCTGACATTGCCATGGCATTAGTAAACTGTCATGGAGCTAATGGGAGTGTAGCAGTGAGGACCACCAGAGGTCGCTCTCATTGGCGTCTTGGTTTTGGTGGGTTTTGGCCGGCTTCCTTACTGCAACCTGTTTTATCAGCAAGGTCTGTATGACCTGTATCTTGTGCCGACCTCCTATCTCATCCTATGACTTAGAATGCCTTAACCATCTGGGAATGCAGCCCAGTAGGTCTCAGCCTCATTTTACCCAGCCCCTATTCAAGATGGAGTTGCTCTGGTTCAAACGCCCCTGACACCTCAGCCTCCCAAAGCGTTACTCCACTTAGTTTTAAAGTCAAGCAGGCCGGGCGGTGGCTCACACCTGCAATCATAGCACTTTAAGAGGCCGAGGCGGGCGGATCACCTGCGATCAGGAGTTCGAGACCAGCCTGACCAATATAATGAAACCCTGTCTCTACTAAAAATACAAAAATTAGCCAGGTGTGGTGGCATGTGCCTGTAATCCCAGCTACTTGGGAGGCTGAGACAGGAGAATCGCTTGAACCCGGGAGGCGGAGGTTGCAGTGAGCTGAGATTGCGCTATTGCATTCCAGCCTGGGCAACAAGAGCAAAACTCCATCCAAAAATAAATAAATAGGCCAGGCGCGGTGGCTCACGCCTGTAATCCCAGTACTTTGGGAGGCCAAAGTGGGTGGATCACGAGGTCAGGAGATCGGGACCATCCTGGCTAACACGGTGAAACCCCATTTCTACTAAAAATACAAAAAACTTAGCCGGGCGTGGTGGCAGGCGCCTGTAGTCCCAGCTACTCGGGAGGCTGAGGCAGAATTGTTTACCTGGGAGGCAGAGCTTGCAGTGAGCCAAGATCGGGCCGCTGCACTCCAGCCTGGGCGACAGAGCGAGACTCCGTCTAAAAATAATAATAATAATAATACCTAAAATAAAATAAGTAAATAAAAATAAAATCAAGCAGATTAAGCCAGGCGTGGTGGCTCATGCCTGTAATCCCAGCACTTTGGGAGGCCAAGGTGAACGGATCACTTAAGGTCAGGAGTTCCAAACCAGCCTGGCCAACATGGTGAAACCCTTTCTCTACTAAAAATACAAAATTAGCTGGGCATGGTGGCAGTCGCCTGTAATCCCAGCTACTCGGGAGGCTGAGGCAGGAGAATCACTTGAACTCCAGAGGCGGAGGTTACAGTGAGCTGAGATTGCGCCATTGCACTCCAGCCTGGGCAAAAAGAGTGAAACTCTGTCTCGAAAATAAAATAAAAGTCAAGCAGATTGGAGTCAAAGTCCTAGCTCTGTGCTTGACTTGGTGTGTCACCTAGGTATGTTACTGGACCTTTGTGGCCCTCACTTTCCTCATGTGTAAAATTAGGGTGAAAATGCCTACTTGTGAAAGTAGCTATAAGGATAAAATTCGATAATGGATGAAAGCAGAGACTTCAGTATGGTGGGTGAGATACTTGCAGGGTCCTCTCTATCACACAACTAGATTCTGTGTAAAACAGAATTTTCAAATTATATTGCTTGGTACATAGAAGCAAAGGAAATCAGTGGGGGTGGGGAGGGGCGAAGAGAAAAGGCGGAGCTGAAAGCAGAACCCTGAGTGGCAAGCACAGAAAAGGCAGCATTTCGCAGAGGACCAGTGCTGGCAATGTCACTGAGCTAGAGAGACCAGACTATTCCTCCAAACCCCTAAAAGGAGGGGTACCTGCAGCTAAGATTCCAGAGACCCGGCTGGGCGCAGTGGCTCACGCCTGTAATCTCAACACTTTGGGAGGCCGAGGCGGGCGGATCACTAGGTCAGGAGTTTGAGACCTGGCCAACATGGTGAAATCCCGTCTCTACTAAAGATACAAAAAATTAGCCGGGCGTGGTTGCAGGCCCTGTAATCCCAGCTACTCGGGAAGCTGAGGCAGGAGAATCGCTTGAACCCAGGAGGCGGAGGTTGCAGTGAGCTGAGATCACGTCATTGCACTCCAGCCTGGGCAACAGGGAGAGACTCCGTCTAAAAAAAAAAAAAAGTTTCCGGAGACCGTAGGTTAAACTAGGATCCTAGGAGCTAAAGCAGTAAATTGCGCCACCTGGCTTTCAACAGAGGCAAATGCAAATACTGCCTAGAGGAAAATATGCACAATTTAGGCCCGTAGGTATTCCCTAGATTAATTAATATCAATAAAATATTAGATCACAATTGAAGGTGCACAGAGAAACGTAATCCATGAGTGAAGTCAGCAGAAACAAAAAATACAGATTTAGGACCCCCCACAAAAGCAACTGAGATATTGGAATTATTAAATAATTGGAAGTCACTATAAATCAAATGCTTTTTAAAAAAAGATGAAAAATTTTAAAAACCAAACAATAATAGAATATCAAAAACCAACCATGTAGCTGGGTGTGGTGGCTCACGCCGGTAATCCCGACACTTTGGGAGGCTGAGGTGGGAGGATCACTTGAGTCCAGGAGTTGGAGACCAACCTGGGGAAATGTTGAAACCCCGTCTACAAAAAAATATAAAAAATTAGCCGGACGTGGTGTCATGCGCCTGTAGTCCCAGCTACCTGGGAGGCTGAGGTGGGAGGATCACCTGAGCCTGGAAGGTCGAGGCTGCAGTGAACTGAGATCGAGCCACTGCACTCCAGCCTTGGTGACAGAGTGAGACCTTGTCTCAAATATATATATATAGATAGATAGATAGATAGATAGATATAGATATACAGATATATATATATATATAGATAGATAGATATAAAACATTCAACAGATGGCTGGGCATGGTGGCTGGAACCTGTAAACCCAGTGACTAGGGAGGCTGAGGCAGGAGGACAAGGCCTGGTGTTCGAGACCAGCCTGGGTGACAGAGCAAGACTCCGTCTCAAAAAAAATTTAAAAAAAAATCAACGAATGAATTGAATGATAGATTTGTCTGAAAACAGAACTAGTGACCAGTATGAGAGGACTGAAAGAAAAACAGAACGTGCAGTTCTGGGAGATGATGAGAAGGCTGAGAGTGAGAAGGTCTAACAGGTCTAATCAGATTCCCAGAATGAGAGGATAAAGAGAATAGAGAAGAGGCAATATTATGCCAATGGATAATCTTGAAGACTTTCTCAGAATCGATGCAAGAAATGAATCTACAGATAAAGTATCTAGCCCAGTGTCTGGTATCTGGTGGATGTTTGGAGACTGTCTGTTCCTTCCCCACTTAGTGGTGGAGGGCTTCTCTCCACCTCCTTCCAGAATCACTAGAATGTGCTTCCGTACCTCTTGATGGTTCAAGCCTTCTAGATTGCTGTAGATGCCCTTATGGGGGGTGAGGTGGAAGGGCCAGCCCTCTCCTAGGCAACCCTGGCTGGGGTGAGGGGTGTAGCTCTAGGCCAGGTCCCAGCTCTGAGTGCTGACCTGTGTGTGTATCAGAGTGAGCTCAGCGATGGCATCGCGATGCTGGTGGCAGGCAATGACCGCGTGCAAGCAGTGATCACACAGATGGAGGAGGTGTGCCAGACTATCGAGGTGAGCCTGGGCTGGAGGGAGGGAGGAACAGCAACTGGCTAGCCTGCGGACCCCGGGCTCCCAAGAGAACTGCTCCTCTCTGACCTCTCGCCAAACTGGTCTGAAAGTTTCTGGGGTCCTGGGAGTGGTGGGAGGTGCTTTTGCCAGGCTGCTGGGTGTGCATTCCAGCTTTGCCGCAAAACTTTAATCCAGTTATTTAACTTCTCTGTGCTTTGGTTTTGTTTAACCTCATAAAACAGTGATGATGATAATGATACACCAGCTACCTCATGGGTTCTTTTTGAGAATTAAATGGAATAATGCAAATAAAAACCAGGGCTAGGGATATAGACAGCAATCAGTGAAGCTACTTTAAAGCATTGTGTTTTTATTATGGAAAAGATCTGGGCTGGGTTCTGGCTCAGCCACTAACTCACAGTGTCACTACGGATGGGTCACTTTCTGTGTTGGTTCTCTGTGAGTACCCTGTGCTTTCCCAGCCACCGGGTCTCAGCCACGCCTTCCCTCATCCTTGCTCCCCATCTTTTAGGACAATAGCCGGAGGCAGAAGCAGTTGTTAAACCAGAGGTTTGAGAGCCTGTGCGCAGTGCTGGAGGAGCGCAAGGGTGAGCTGCTGCAGGCGCTGGCCCGGGAGCAAGAGGAGAAGCTGCAGCGCGTCCGCGGCCTCATCCGTCAGTATGGCGACCACCTGGAGGCCTCCTCTAAGCTGGTGGAGTCTGCCATCCAGTCCATGGAAGAGCCACAAATGGCGCTGTATCTCCAGGTGGGCTCTAGGGGAGGGTGGCAGCGCTGCACAGTGGCTGGAGTCAGGGCCTTGGTACCTGGAGTCCCGGGTTCAAGTCTTGTCTCTTGCACCTGCTTGCCCCTACGACCTTGGGCAAGTCACCCCCTCTGAGTTCGTTTTCTGCTTAACGAATTGGGACGTGCCTTCCCACCTACCCCGCAGGACTGTGGTGAGATTCAGAAATGGGACTTTGCCCAGGTTGGCCCAGTGCTTACTCTCACCCTCCTTTTCTTCCCTGCAGCAGGCCAAGGAGCTGATCAATAAGTGAGTAGGCATAGCGGGAAGGGAAAGGAGGGGGCTGCACTGCTCCACTGGCTGGGGTGGGGCTTGAGAGTGCTGGGGCATTGCCAGCTGAGTCCGTGTGGCCACTGCAGGGTCGGGGCCATGTCGAAGGTGGAGCTGGCAGGGCGGCCGGAGCCAGGCTATGAGAGCATGGAGCAATTCACCGTAAGGGTGGAGCACGTGGCCGAAATGCTGCGGACCATCGACTTCCAGCCAGGTGAAGGAGGTGGCCGAGGGCCGCTGAGACGGGTTCGGACCCTCTGTGTGGGGGGTGCGGCGGGCACGATGGCCGTAAAGGCAGGGACTCCACCTCACCAGGCCTTCCTTGGGCTCAGGCGCTTCCGGGGAGGAAGAGGAGGTGGCCCCAGACGGAGAGGAGGGCAGCGCGGGGCCGGAGGAAGAGCGGCCGGATGGGCCTTAAGGTGAGAGCCGCCCGATGGGCCTTAAGGTGAGAGCGGCCTGAGGGGCTTGGGGTGGGGCCTGGCTGGTGTGCTCGCGTCCCCTCCCCCAGTGATTGCCCTCCCTGCGGGTAGCGTGGAGCCCCCACTCCTCGGTGCAACCCAACCCCGGAGCCACAAAGGCGCGCCCCCTAGGGCGGAAAAGTACACTTTCCTCCTCACCCGCTGTTCCTCTGGGGTGCTGGGAGGGCAGGCAAGGCAGGCTGAGTAGAGGAGAAACCCACGTGGCGGGGGACGGAGTGAGCGGGGCTCGAGCTGCCTCGTGCCTTCGCAGCACCCGCCCACCGAGCCTTCTTTCCCGGGCACAGGCCTGCGCCGACCCGACCCTGCTCGAGAGCCCGCGCTAGAGTCGGGGAGGATCTGCGCAGAGACCGCAGCATCACCCAAATCGGCGCCGGCCCCGGGAGGATCTCAATAAAGAACTCGAGCGTCCCAGACCCGTATCTCCTTTCGCTGCCCAACCCCGCAGCCTGGGCTTCGAAGGCGACCCGCCCACCATCCTGCCCTTCCCAGAACCTGAGACCGTCTGGGGGGCGGAAGCCAAATGAACCCCTATTGGGCACCTCTGTGATGCCAGGAGCGAACTGGTGAGCCCAGCGCCCTGGGAAGAGGGCCGAGGGCGGGGCGGTGGTGCCGGGACCTCTGAGGTCCTGGGGATTTGGGGACCCTTGGGGTCCACATGCACCTGGCTGACCTGGCTGAAAGCCGCTGTCTCGGAGCCCCCCACAGCATTTTGTTCCCCTCCCGCTGGCCCGGGGGCCCCACCTTCCCACGGGTTCCCACGCTGCTGTGACTGCCCTGCCTCTACGACAAAAGCCAACGGGTCTTCAGTACTTTTATTAAAAAATAGTCACGCAGACAGTGCCCTGGTGGCTCTGCCCCGCATCCCAACTCTGGGGTGGGGGAAAGGGGTCAACGTTTTCGCAGCCCCAAACCGGGCCATCACTTGCCCACCGAGTCGAATATGATGCGGTTCTGCTCGGCGCGCTCCCGCTGGCTCTGCGTCCGCGCCAGCTCCAGCAGGGTCCGCAGCAGGTGAAAGGTGAGGTCAATGGACAGAGAAGGGTTGTCCCGCCGCGGCCGCTCGCCTGCCGTCCCGAGTCCCAATCGGCCGGGCCCCGCGCGGCGCGGGAAGCGCTCCGCCAGCAGCAAGAGGAGCGCGCGGGCCCCGCCACCCTGGTTCCGTGCCCCGGGGCTCCAGCGCAGACTCGGGTCCTGGACCCCGGCCGCCTCGGGGCTCCTCTGGCTGCTCCCAGGGCACAGCTGTACCAGGAGCAGCAGCGCGGCCAGCAGCGCTGCGCGTCCCGCCTGCCTCATGGTGCCGCCGGCCCTGGACACACAGGGGCAGCGCAGGGTGAGGTGCGCCTGGGACAGCTGCAGGCCGCCGCTCCCCTCCCCGCGCTCGCCCGGCGACCCCTCCGGCCGCCGCCCAATGCCCGCAGCCTGCCCTCCAGCCCCAGCCACTGCGCCAGTGCTGTTCCATCCCTTCCACCCAGCCTCCCTCCCCGGAGGAGCGTGGTGGCTGAGCTGAGCGGAGTCCTGGTGCAGGGGGAGGCTGGGCGGACGCTCTGAGCCACTCACAGGTTGTCGGCGAGCGTCTGTACGGTCCAAGATTGAGCTCCAGTCTCTGTCCCTCGGGGCAGGCTGAAGACGCCTTGGGGAACACAGGGTCTGTCCCGGGGCTGTCGCCAGCCTTATATAGTGCCAGGACAGCTCCGACTGACGTCAGCGAAGAACATGCACTGATTGTAGAAGCAATGACAGCCACAGCTTCGAGTCTGACGGCTGGCGGGCCCCCGGAGGGGCGCACCTCCCTACACCAGCCTTCGTGCCCCTGGGGCTAGCGCTGGAAGCAGCACTGGACGCAGGAAAGCGAGAAGCCGGCTGGGGCGTAAAGACTGCTCTGGGACCCACGGGAGTCCCTCGCCCCGCTTAGAACAGCCAGCAATGACTAGGGCCGTCCCCAGACCAGACTAGTCCGGGTCGCGTGTTCTGACACACGAAAGGGAGGCGGGACCGTGAGGCTGTCCATGGTGCTGACCCCGTCCTCTGCCTCTAGAAGTGGCCAGAAATGTGAGAACGCTGTGCCGCTGGAACCCACTGCCTCCCTGCAGCTATCAGTTCTGCAAATGCAGGCATCAGGAGTCCACCGCTGGCACTCAGCCAACACAGTGGGACCCACTGAGAGGCAGTCTGCCACAACCAAAGTCTCCCAGCATTCTTATCTTTTTCCAGCCCCAGGATCCAAATTGTAGGGCTGTCTGACAGGCACCATGTAACAGAGGGTCTCTAGCATCCGAGTGCTTTCAGACCACAAATGGCTGGCCCATCTGCTTTTGAGTTTGCCAAAGTAGTTTAGCAAAGTTCAGTTTCTCTCCTGGGAATCATAGCAGCAGTGTAACTCTGCCCATGAGCAGCAAAGAAATATGGGTTCAAGTTTCTGCTAACTCCTGGTGTGGACAGGTCACCTCCCTCCTACCAACCTCAGGGTCCTCATTTGTAAGACTGGGCTTGGCCAGGCGCGGTGGCTCACGCCTGTAATCCCAACACTTTGGGAGGCCGAGGCAGGCGGATCACGAGGTCAGTAGTTTGAAACCAGCCTGGCCAATATGGCGAAACCCCATCTCTACTAAAAATACAAAAATTAGCCGGGCGTGGCGGTATGCGCCTGTGGTCCCAGCTACTCAGGAGGCTGAGGCAGGAGAACTGCTTGAACCCAGGAGGCGGAAGCTGCAGTGAGGCAAGATCGCGCCACTGCACTCCAGCCTGGGAGACAGAGCAAGACCCTGTCTCAAAAAAAAAAAAAAAAAAAAAAAAAAAAATTGGGCTTGGTGGTCTCTTGGCTTCTTTCCAGCTCTAGAAATGACTCCCCAATAGTTTTCTGCTTAAAAACTTACTCATTACCACTGCAGATTCCGGATTACATATTTAATAACATATTTACTGAGGCACCATATAAAGGGTTCCGGGAGTCTCTAAAGAGCTGGAGCTACAAGAAGCCTAGGCAGGGTTAGAGTAACAAATGTGTCTATGAAGAGTGGGGATGAGTGGCATTTGCTGGGATATGGGTGTAAAGTTGATAAGGTCATGAAGGTTCAACAGATATTTATGGAGTGCCTAGTATGTGGTGGGAATAAGACTATTATCAAGGGCTCTAAAGCAGTCAGTGTACATTTTAGAGTGAAGAGGGGCATTGCAGGGTGCTAGTCCTCTTAAGCTCTGACCGGCAACCCAACCCCGTGGAAACTGGTATGCCCACTTTGAGGAGGTTGTCTGACCGTTCCAGGGTCAAGCTGCATCACTGCAAGGTGGAAACGATGGAGTGAGGCAGGCTTAGAGCCGATGTGCCTTCCAGGACAGGTAGGAGTTCCAGATAACAGCAACACATTGGACAACGGCCAACCTAAGGAACAGGAATAACACAATGAAGAGGAGGAAGGCTAAGCAGTGAGCAAGGGCTGGAGATGGGAGCATGAAATGGCAAAGGAGGGATCATGACAAAGGATTGGCAGGTTTAGGTCTCTTTCCTTCAGCACCTTTTTTTTGAGATGGAGTCTCCTCTGTTGCCCAGGCTGGAGTGCAGTAGCACAATCTTGGCTCACTGCCTCCCGGGTTCAATCAATTCTCGTGCCTCAGCCTCCCAAGTAGCTGGGACTACAGGTGTGCTCCACCACACCTGGCTAATTTTTGTATTTTTAGGAGAGACAGGGTTTCACCATGTTGGCCAGGCTGGTCTCGAACTCCTGACCTCAAGTGAGCCACCCACCTCGGCCTCCCAAAGTGCTGGGATTACAGGTGTGAGCCACGACACCCAGCCCTTTCAGCACCCTATGAAGGGCCTGTGTGGCTTGCACTAAAGGACAACTGGCTCAAATTCTAGTGCCATCCCAGAGCTCTGTTTCCTGGCTGAGAGCCTCAAAGGCTAAATATTCAGCGGCTCTCTTGCCATGCATAGCTCTGTTAATCACAGAAAGGGCCCCTATCTGGGCCCCTTCTAAGTTCATTGATCTGTCTTGTACCAGCTGAGATTTCATCTTCCGAAATGTACGGACTATCATATAAAGTAGCATCTTTCTGTTTTAAATTAACCTTGCTCTGGTTTCAAAGAGTGTTGCAAAGGACCCTAATGTTTAGGATTTGGTTCATAAGTCTGTATTCCTTTTTTGTTTTTTCGGGTTTTTTTTGAGACGGAGTCTCGCTCTGTTGCCCAGGCTGGAGTGCGGTGGCAAGATCTTGGCTCACTGCAACCTCCGCCTCCCAGGTTCAAGCGATTCTCCTCCCTCAGCCTCCCGAGTAGCTGGGACTACAGGCACCTGCCACCACACCCAGCTAATTTTTGTATTTTTAGTAGAGACAGGGTTTCAACATATTGGCCAGGCTGGTCTCGAATTCCTGACCTTGTGATCCACCTGCCTCAGCCTCCCAAAGTGTTGGGATTACAGGCGTGAGCCACTGTGTCCAGCCTTTTTTTTTTTTTTTTTTTTTTTTTTTTTTGGAGACAGGGTCGTCTCACTCTGTCACCAGGCTGAAATGCAGTGGCACAATCTCAGTTCACAGCAACCTCCATCTCACAGGCTCAAGTGATCCTCCCACCTCAGCCTCCCGAGTAGCTGGGACTACGGGCACATGTTACCATGTGACTGGCTAATTTTTTGTATTTTCTGTAGAGATGAGGTCTCACTATATTGCCCAGGCTGGTGTGAAACTCCTGGACTCAAGCAAACCTCTTGCCTCAGCCTCCCAAAGTGCTAGAATTACAGGTGTGAGCCACCGTGCCCAGCCAGTCTGTATTCGTTTTAGCTATGCTACTCATGTACATTTTGGCCCTGTTCCCTCTGAAGCGTTCCATATTTTCCCCTGTTCCCACGATCCTTCACCTTCAAGCATTTGAACCACACATCTTCAGTGCCACTATCTTTTTGGGTGCAGTTCAGCAACTGTCTTTATTGTGAGTGTCTGACCAGGCTCCTACTTGGCCTTCTGGTCTACCTCTCTGTCTAACCTAGGCTGCAGCACCCCAGCCACTGTCCCTCCAGATATGCCATCAAAGACGGAGCTCAGGTGGGATGGAGACAAGGGTGGTAGAAGCAGGATCCTCCCTAGGGAGATGAAGAAGGTCAGTGGGCAGACACTCTGGGACAGTTTCCGGAAATGGCAAGACATTCTGAATAACACGCTTGGGAATCTGAGGAACTCTGATCACGGCTCAGTGTTCCGTTTGGGGGTCTAAGGTAGCTCAAGGTTGAAATGAGAATCATTTTGTCTCCAACTGTTGGTAACGTGGGTCTTCCTTGATGGGTGGGGTAGGGGTGCAACATACCTGTAATGAAGGGGGACCAGGTAGAAGTTGGCTAACTGCACAGCAGGCCATAGCTGCAAGAGAAAATGTAAAGGTTGGATGGCTGCCCCACCACCTGACCCCAGACTCACTGTCTTGCCTGGCCCTACCCCAACTTCTGCACACAAGAAAAAGGTGAACAGTTGGGTGATGGCTTCCCTATTTATGGTGCCCATCCTGGGAATGAAAGAGTAATCCCAACGGAAGGGTTTCCCATGTCAGGAGGACCCCCCAATCCCAGGACAGTTCTAGACTTAAGGAAGCAGGAGAACAAGCAGTTGAGGTGTCAGCTCTTACATAGTAGTTGGTGATAAGGGCATCAGGATAATCCTGGGGAGACAGAGAAGGAACAAATTAACACTTGCGCCTCCAAGCAGCTCCCACTTCCCAGTATGAATGTCACACACAGACTTGGGTTCAAAGAGCACATTCCTGCACCATAACCCTCAGCTCCTCTCCTCCATGGCCTGGGGCCCTACCTGCACTTACCCCCTTTTTTATCCCTGTAAAACCTGTCTTCTTCCCCTGGGCTGTCAGCCCGCCAGCCAGAGACATTCTCCACACCTGCCCAGCTCACCCGCTGTAGTTTGGCCCAGTTGTCCTGGGCTGACAGTCCATTAAGTGCCCCTACCAGTGGGAGAAAGCAGCCTAGAAAACACGGGGCAAAGCCCCCCTAGGGAAGAGAAATTAAAGTCCTATGAGTGCTGAAATCCCCACCTACCCCCAACACAGCTCACCCTCCCCACTCTGTTCTCCTGCTCACCTGATCCAACAACATCTTCTTCAGTGCATCCACTTTGGTGGTGCCAGGGATGAACCGATCCAAAACCTTGTACCAGCCTCCTACCACAGGGCCCTGGAAGTAAACCCCAGATAGCAGCAGGCTGCAGTGAGGGAGCCCTAGGCCTCTACCTCACTAAGCTCCCTGCCCCAAGTATCAGAATAGGGGAAGTGGACACTAAGAAAAAAGAGGGCGGCAGGTTGGCTTAGGTGTGAGAGTCCAAGGGAAGCCAAAGGATGGCAAAGAACTAAGACCACTGTTGAGTCCACTGAAGCCCTGTTGAGGGGAGAACTTACCACAAAGCCACAGCCCAGGGACACCATGGTCAGAGTCCGGCCTCTCTGGTGTTCCTGCAGACCCCGCCTCTCCACCAGCTGCTGTGAGATAATGTCACCCAGGCCCATCAGGGACCCTATGCAGGGTACACAGGTGTTGTCAGGACATCTCCTGGGATGGGCTGCCATTCCAAGGAGGGAGGGACATCTGCTGACCTCCACTGAGGCTCTGGTACTCTGAACCCCAGGGCTTCATTGTGGAAACAAATGACTAGTCCCTTCCTGCTGCCTCAAAGCCCTCACCTCCCCAATGATGGTGACACCTCATGTGTATTCTGTCAGAAACTGGGATGAGCAGACCCAGGTCCAGGAACTTTGCATTGAGCAGTAAAGGGAAGTCAGAGTCAGAAAGTATAGAGAGAGGAAGGAGAATTTAAGGCCACAGGGCTGAGAACCACAGACTGTCAGAATCAAAAGGGGCTTTAAGATAATTTAATGCAAACCACTTATTTTAGAGGTATGGAAATGAAGTCCAGGGTCTCACATAACCAGTAAGTGCAGGGCCAATGCAACAACCAGGTGGCTGGATTCCTAGACACTGTTCTTTCCAGGACTCAGCACAATGAATAAATCATGTGTAGAATGGTAGGAAACCCTGTTTTCTCCCCCAAGCCCAATGCAAGACCCTGCCAACAGCTTTCACCTTGGTCTAGGGGATCTCTATTTGTAGAGAACAGCAAGAATAACTTTTTTTTTTAAAGACTGAGTCTCACTCTGTTGTCCAGGCTAGAGTGCAGTGGCATGATCTTGGCTCACTGCAACCTCTGCCTCCCGATTCAAGCGATTCCCCTGCCTCAGCCTCTCAAGTAGCTGGGACTACAGGCACCCACCACCATGCCTGGCTATTTTTTGTATTTTTAGTAGAGATGGGGTTTTGCCATGTTAGCCAGGCTGATCTTGAACCCCTGACCTCAGGTGATCTGCTCACCTCGGCTTCTCAAAGTGCTGAGATTACAGGCATAAGCCACTGTGCCTGGCCAGAATAAATCTTTTTCTAAAACAAGAGTGCCGGCCTGGAATGGTGGCTCACACCTGTAATCCCGGCACTCTGGGAGGCTGAGGCAGGAGGATTGCTTGAGCCCAAGAGTTTGAGTCCAGCCTGGGCAATATAGCAAGACCCCACTTCTACAAAAAATTTTTTTAAACAATTAGCTGGGCACGGTGGCACGTGCCTGTAGTCCCAGCTACTCAGGAGGCTGAAGTAGGAGGACTGTTTGAGCCCAGGAGGTCCAGGCTGCAGTGATCACGCCATTACACTGCTGCCTGGGCGACAGAACAAGACCCTATCTCAAAAAGAAAAAAAAAGTAATAAAACAAGAGTGCTCAAATGGTCATAAGCAGGAAGATGACTGGTTGAGCTGATAAGAGTCCCCACAACAAAGAGTCTTGGCCACCTCTTAGCACAATCAGCTAAACCAAGATTTCCCCCATTCACAACCTTAGATTGAGTTGGCAATGGATATAGTGGTCATTTCCCTTCCAGGACTCTGCACCTGCTTCCCTTGCCCCAACTGCACAGATACCCAGCTCCAAGCAGCCCTATTTAGACACCCACACCCAGAAACGATGAAAGAAATCATCACTGTTTACAGAGCCCCCAGTCCATTATGGTGGTGTGATGGTTTCTAGCAAATACACACTTACCAGGCCACTTGGGAGTGACCGTGTGATTTCCAGCTCACCTGTCTATCTCACCGAGTAATGAGAGCCCCCCTCCAGACCCACAGTCACACTGTCCCTGTGCCCTCAATTAGCACTGGACAAACACATCCTTCTGCCCCATTCCTTGGCCCAGAACTGGCTCTGACGTCCATGCTGGCTGCACACTCACTGTTGCGTTCTTCCTCCACACCCTCTGCCCGGCCGGCCCTGCCCCTGAGCAGCCTAGTCAGTGGCAGCTGGGTATGGCTGAGAGCTGGGGTTGGGGATGGAAACCCGTGGCTCACCTCGGCTACTGGCCATGGAGCAGCTCTGGGCACCCCCAGTCCTGCCTCGTCTCTCCCTGAAACTCCCAAAGTGGTGGGGGTCTTCCCAGAACACTGCGAGGCATGACCTCCCAGGGCCAAGGATAGAATCCTAGATACCTTTGTTATCCCATCCCCTCACCATGCAGCTAAGCAAGCTACTGGTAGGTGCTCAGAAAATAAAGGGAAAACGTCAAATGTACTGTCCCAAACAGCAGGACGACTCTGAGAAAGGGTCTGAAGAATTCTTAAGTTGCCCAAAGGTCCAAGTCGGGTAGAAGGTGTGAGGACGTCGGGGGAACTGCAGGTTTGCTCCCACCCGCACCCGGTTCCCTATCCCTCCAGCCAGGGATGAGAGGGAGCTGCTGCAGCCCTGCAGAAAGGGAAGAGTGCTGCCAAGAAGGCCAGGGGATGGTGAGGCAGAAAAGGCAGTCCTTTCTCAAATGAAGGGACCAACAGTGTAACGGTCTACTTTGGTAAGGTGTTTACAAAAGACTCTTATACATTTAATCCTCACAAAAGATCTGGGAGGTAGGTGGTCACACCTCCATTCATCCATTCATTCATTCACTCATTTATTTTTGAGATGGAGTCTCATTCTGTCGCCCAGGCTGGAGTGCAGTGGTGCGATCTCCGCTCACTGCAACCTCTGCCTTCCGGGTTCAAGCGATTCTCCTGCCTCAGCCTCCTGAGTAGCTGGGATTGCAGGTGCCCACCACCACACCTGGCTGATTTTTGTATTTTTAGTAGAGATGGGGTTTCACCATGTTAGCCAGGCTGGTCTCAAACTCCTGACCCCAGGTGATCCACCTGCCTTGGCCGCCCAAAGTGTTGGGATTATAGGTGTGAGCCACGGCACCCAGCCTACACCCCCATTTAATGATGAGTCTTTGAGAGATGAGATGACTTGGTAAGGAGTGCAGTTGGAACTGAACCCAGGCCTTCTCTCAAGGAGGACCAAGGAGGCCAGGGTATTCCTGGCATGGGCTGAGATGGGCTCAGAGGTCAGTGGCACCAGGAGGCCCCTGTGGCTGCTCCCCTGCTGGGTGTTCCTGCCCAAGTGAGGCCCCAAAGGGCCTGCATATCAAAGGACATTCCCTAGACTAATGCACTTCCTCTCTGTCTTTACTCCCCCAAATTCCATCATTCTGCTCCTTGTCACCTCGTGGGGATGGCAGACAGCAATATTCCTGGGAAAGAAACAGAGAAGTGTGTGTTTTCACTCTTCATGACTTGCCAACAGTCACACAACAAGCTAGAGGCAGAGCTGGAATGAAAAGCCAAGTCCCTGACTTCTAGCCCCATAGTTCTGGAAGCCTGCAGCCTTGGAGAAAGATGGATTCAAGTCCCCCAGACTGTGCCCATCAAGCCTGAGGGACTACCAAGTGACAGGGCAGCAGTAGGGGTGAGTAGGTGGTATGTAGATCTGCAGTCCCTGACGGTTCATTTCAGAAGAGTGGTGCCCAGGGATTCCTTTGCCCACAGATGATCAGGCCCCCTGTGCCTGCAGCAACTCCAAGGTGGTATAAGGCTTTGGAGCAAGCATAGAGCAAGCCTGCTTTTCCAGCCCAAGTGACCCTTTGGGCAGGAAGGACCCAGACATTCAGATTCCTCATCCCACATTTCCCAACCCAGAGCCCAAATAGACCCAAACCACCCCAGCCTCTGGGAGATCTCCTGGATATATTTGGTTGGTCTGGACTCTCCAGTGCTCTGGGCCCCCTCCCCTTGGACTTGTTTCTAGGGAGTTGGGACTGGAGGCCTGCAGACACATAATGGCCAGAGGCCTGATGGGGCAGGGCTAGGGGCTGCTGGGCAGTGATGCCCAATGACAGGCTGGGCGTGGAGCCCAGCGAGCAGATGCTGGCGCAGGTGTGACATCATGCCCCTGGGTAGGTGCCAGTTCTCATGCCGTCACTCCCGAACAGATCCAGCGGCCAGGGGGAAGGGAGCCTGCCTCTGAGCAGATCAATTTGGGACCACTTCCTGCCCACTAGTGGAAAAGCCCCAACTTCCACACCCTCTTCCCGGGCATGGGCAGGGTAAATTCCCTACTTCTCCTATTTTGTTCCTCTACTTACTTTTGTGGCTTTTGAGTTTCATGCGCAGAAGGCAGAGGGGCAAGAAGTGGCTTCTTGGAGTGAGGAGCAGGAAGCGTGTCCTTCAGTCCAGGAGGCCTGGGTCGGCAGGTATAGCTACTGGCATGGGGCCAGCAGTGCTGCCTTCCTCCCCAGAAGTCTGCAAACATTAGTTAGCTGCCTAGGATAGGGGCTCAGTCTGGCACAGAGCCCAGAGGGAGTGGAAGCCCAGCAGCGGGAGGGGAGTGGATCCTCTGGGATTATTCTGAATGCTCTCCCATTTCTGACCTGAACCCATCCTACTGCTAGAAAATGAGACAAAACGGGTAGTTTTGCAGCTTGTTACGTATCTAAGCTCAGATCAGCTGGGGTTGCACTCAGCATCTGGAGGCTCCAGTAGTCTCAAGTGCAAGGCAGTATGGTGGGCAGTGCCCTAGGTTATAACGCCAGCTCAGCCACTGACTATCTGAGACCTCAGTGCATGACACTCCCACTCCTGCCTCAGTTTCCTTCTCTGCAGTCTCCTGGGCTGGACAGGATTGTATGTAAGGCCTATTGAGCTCTCATACCCTGGCTTAATTCAGACTCCAGGGAAACCAGTATTTGTAAGAGCTCAGCTGCTCCCACAGCAGGACCGAGTAGACTAAGATGGATGAAGCTCGGCCCTGGGCCCACTGGAGAGTGGAAGGGCCCTCAAAGAAGGAAGGGATAAGGCTGACTCACACTCCATAGAACATACAGTAAACCTTTCCCCAGGCTACCTTGTTCTGGACTCTGGCTTGGCCAAAACTGGTATACTAGACATTTCTTTTGAATCATTTCAAATGTTCTTGATTCACTATCTCTTACTCCAGCCATTACTGCAGTTCTACTGGATAGATTCTTGCTTCAGGCCTGTGCCACACCTGGGCCTTTGCTATTGATGGCTGCAGTGACTATGCATGTGTGAACTAGTAGCGGAGCGGAGTTATCCCATGAGGTCAATCTTTCTTTTCTTTTTTTTTTTTTTTTTGAGACAGAGTCTTGCTTTGTCACCCAGGCTGGAGTGCAGTGGCACAATCTCAGCTCACTGCAACCTCTGCCTCACAGGTTCAAGCAATTCTCCTGTCTCCGCCTCCCAAGTAGCTGGGACTACAGGCACCTGCCACCACACCCAGCTAATTTTGTATTTTTAGCAGAGATGGGGTTTCACCTTGTTGGTCAGCTGGTCTCGAACTCCTGACCTCAGGTTATCCACCCACCTCAGCCTCCCAAAGCGCAGGGATTACAGGCGTGAGCACTGCGCCCGGCCTTTTTTTTTTCAGATGGAGTCTCGCTCTGTCGTCCAGGCTGGAGTGCAGTGGCAGGATCTTGGTTCATTGCAACCTCTACTTCCTGGGTTCAAGCAATTCTCCTGCCTCAGCCTCCTGAGTAGCTGGGATTACAGGCATGCGCCACCATGCCCGGCTAATTTTTGTATTTTTAGTAGAGACGGGACTTCACCATGTTGGCCAGGCTGGTCTCGAACTCCTTACCTCAAGTGATCTGCCTGCCTCGGCCTCCCAAAGTGCTGGTGAGCCACCATACCCAGCCTGGGGTAAGTCTTTGGAATCTTTGACCATTGTGGGATGGGAGTGGCAGATAAAGGTTTCTTCTTTTCTCTAGAAAATAGCTATTCATCCAGACAGTCCTAAAGAGTATTTCTTTTCTTTTCTTTTCTTTTTTTTTGGAGATGGAGTCTCGCTCTGTCGCCCAGGCTGGAGTGCTGTAGCGCAATCTCAGCTCACTGCAACCTCCGCCTCCCAGGCTCAAGCAATTTTCCTGCCTCAGTCTCCCGAGTAGCTGGGATTACAGGCACCCGCCACCATGCCCAGCTAATTTTTGTATTTCTAGTGGAGACGGGGTTTCACCATGTTGGCCAGGCTGGTCTCAAACTTCCGACCTCAGGTGATCCGCCCACCTCAGCCTCCCAAAGTGCTGGGATTACAGGCATGAGCCACCACGCCCAGACACTTTAAGGAGTATTTCAAAAAGTTTCTCAGTTCCAAGGGACTGAGCAACAGCTGCCCTTAGCAGTGGCTAATTCAATAATGCATCCTTAGAGTGGCTCTCCCTCTTTCCCTCCATGGGATCACTCCCTACTACCTAACAAGGTATCTGCACATAAGCTTCAGGCTCTGCTTTCCGGAACCCAAGGCTAAGATAGTGATCCATGTTCAGATTATGGCAAGTGGAACAAACCTAACCCAAACGCCACTATAAAAAGAATAAAGCTTGGGCAATATGGCAAAACCCCATCTCTACCAAAAAACAAAAGAAATTAGCTGGGCATGGTGGTGCAAGCCCGCGGTCCCAACCACTCGGGAGGCTAAGGCAGAGGATCCTCTGTTGCCCAGGCTGGAGTGCAGTGGCATAGTCACAGTTCAGGATGGGATCATGCCACTGCACTCCAGCCTGGGCAAAAGAGCAAGACCCCGTCTCAAATAATAATAATAATAAAATAGTTTATTGTGCCTGTGTTGCCAACACTCATAGAAAGAACCAACCTGTTGAGTCTTTAAGTTCACTGAGCATTTAAAAACATTTCCAGGTGGGGCCTACTGGATCACACCTGTAATCCTAGTACTCTGGGAGGCTGAGGTGGGCGGATCACTTGAGGTCAGGAGTTCAAGACTAGCCTGGCCAACATGGAGAAAGCCCATCTCTACTAAAAATACAAAAAAGTAGCCTGGTGTGGTGCTGTGCACTTGTAGTCCCAGCTACTCAGGAGGCTGACGCATGATAATTGCTTGAACCCAGGAGGCGGAGGTTGCAGTGAGCTGATATAGCACCACCACTCTCCAGCCTGGGTAACAGGGTGACACCTTATCTCAAAAAAAAAAAAAAAAGAAAAAGAAAAAAAGGCTGAGCTCAGTGGCTCACACCTGTAACCCCAGCACTTTAGGAGGCCGAGGCGGGTGAATCACGAGGTCAAGTGTCCGAGACCAGCCTGGCCAACATGGTGAAATCCCGTCTCTACTAAAAATAGAAAAAATTAGCTGGGCGTGGTGGCGCATGCCTATAATCCCAGCTGCTGAAGAGGCTGAGGCAGGAGAATCACTTGAACCCGGGAGGCGGAGGTTGCAGTGAGTCGAGATCACGCCACCGCACTCCAGCCCGGGCAACAGTGCAAGACTCCATCTCGAAGAAAAAAAAAAAGAAAAAAAATGTCCAAAACCTTTTCACAGTGATACTCCTATACTGACCCTGTGAGGTCATATAACTAAACTCAAGATTTTTTTTTTGTTGATTTTTTTTTTTGAGATGGAGTTTCGCTCTTGTTGCCCAGGCTGGAGTGCAATGGCACAATCTTGGCTCACCGCAACCTCTGCCTCATGGGTTCAAGTGATTCTCCTGCCTCAGCCTCCCAAGTAGCTGGGATTACAGGCATGCGCCACCATACCCGGCTAATTTTGTATTTTTAGTAGAGACGGGGTTTCACCGTGTTAGCCAGGTTGGTCTCGATCTCCTGACCTCGTGATCTGCCCACCTCGGCGTCCCAAAGTGCTGGGATTACAGGTGTGAGCCACCGCGCCCAGTCCCTAAACTCAAGTTTTAAAAGAGGAAACTAAGGCTCAAAGAAGCTTACTGACTTGTCCTGATTAATGCACCTACTAGGTGCTATGGTTTTAAGATTCAAATCCTGGTCTTCTAAGTCTGAAATCTCTGTACTGTTTTCCAGTGTGATGAGCTATCCCATGGGACCTTAGGAACTACTGTGCTGGGGTCCAAAAATGGCTCAGTGAACTAAAGCCACTTCCACCTTTTATTTGTAGTTTGATCCAAATACAGTGAACAGCAGGAAAGGAAAAGTCTGGATGGTCTGAAAAAGTCTGGGAAAAGTGCTGGGAGGCTACATTTTGCTTCAGGGCTGAGCTGGGACGTCAGCATAGCCTCAGGAAGACTGAGGCTGTGGAGCTGAAGGGCTCCAGCACCAAGAGCCCAGAACTCCAGCCACATGTCGGCACCTAGGCCTCCTTGGAGCTCTAGCTCCTGCCCTTGTCAGCTGCAGATGCCTCAGGTAGGGAAATATAAGGACTCTTTCCCTCCCTATTCTTGATGACCACAAGGGGGAATCTTCCATCTGGCAGTTATGGGCCCTGAGGGAATCTGAGCCTGGGCAAAGGGCCCAGCGTGTCAGTTCCCATCATAGCCACACTGTCCAGCATGAGTCACCACACACGTAGCCAGGTGAGTCATACAGGCTGACGGACGCTGAGGACAGGACAAGAGGTGGTTGGGCACCGGAGACTGGAGAGGGGCCCAGGGAAGGGCCAAAGAATCCATCTCCTGGCCATTCATGCAGTTAAGTTTCTGTGCCGATGCAGGGCTGTTCTGGTCACAGGATCCCTGTTCCACTCTGGCCTTCAGTAGCCCCCAATCCCTTCCAATAGTCCTCTTCTCAGAAGGCCAGTCATCACTAGAATCCTGTTCCCCTTCTCTAAACATGGGCAAGACCTCATCTTAATGTGATCACTCTTTGCACCCCAATGTTCTAAGGCCTTCTGACATTCCCCCTCTAAGACTTACTTATCTTCATGCCATCCTCTTACATTAGCTAACTTGCAAAATGAAGATGGTAACAAATGCAGGTAGGTCACTGCATTACCTCTGTGAGGTTAGTACTCAATCACTGCATTTGGAGTGACTGGTATCTGATCACTCCAAATGGATCAGGATGGAGTGATCAGATACCAATATACTAACCTTGGAGATACATATTTAGGCAGTAAATGATAACAAAAGCAAATGAACGATATAAACAAAACTCAGGAAATTTTGGGTGAATTACGGAGAGGCACTCAAGAGGTCTCAAAGCTGATTACTGACACAGGAGTGTTCAGTTTTAATGCCATTTAAACTGTACATACACATCTTAATCATTCTTTTGTATGTTTCACAATAAAAAATACCAAGAAAAACTGGGGTAAGAGTCTTGATTCAGCACTTATTAGGTGTGATCTAATGTGGACTCAAGTAACCCTCCTAGCTCACACACCTTTGTGGGGGCCCTATGCCATAACGTATATGAAAGTGCTTTGCATACGGTAAAATGTTTTCCAAGTTGAGGCCTCCTGGGGCAATGCCTTTATCCTTCAGGGCTGACTGTTCAGCTTTTTGAGGACTTTGAAATCCTAAAACCCTACTGCACAGCTTGGCCAACTACGCATACCCCTTAAAAACAGCCTTGGGGACCACCCTCCAAAACAGACTGGGGACAGTGTAGGATGAAAGACAGCCAACCCTTCAAGAGAGCCGAATAGAAACAGGAAGTGAGGGTGGTGCAGTGGGGCAAGCCTCTGGCTTCCAAATCAGTCTGCCCTGGTCCCACTCAAGTCCTAGAGGGACACTCACCAGCTGTCAGGACCTGTACTTTCCACGGGTGAGCGGCCAGGGCCCGCTGGTATGCCCGCCAGAGTGCCATGCTTCCTGTCAAGCCAAGAGGAGAGGGGGTCACCCCCACCGTCCCTCTCCACGACTAAGAAGCCGCCTGACATTCCCTTGTGCCCACTCCCTTCCCCTTCCCACTTCCAATGTGACTTAAAGGGGCAGAGGCCACATGAAGGATGCTTCCCAGACAGCTTCCTGTCGCAGGAGTCGCCTTAGACAATTGGGGAAGAGAGAAAGGCTGTGGGAAGCTATGGACTCCTGGTAGCAGCCACCAGCCACCCCAACCTCATTCCTGAAGCCAGACCACCTGGAAGCCTCCGTTCCCGACGGAGACACTCATGAGGACAGCTTTGCTCTGGCTTCTACCCAGAGCTTGGGTGCCTCAAAAGATAGCTTGGTCCGTCTCCAGATTCAGACTTGGTTGGAACCAGTTTGTAACCTTCCTGAGTCCAGCTCCAAACCGAAAATAGGGCCCGTCACTGCCCGGATATAGGATGACCACACACCTTGTGGGCACTCATGGCTTGCGACGCTTTAAGCCAGAGACCGCAGATCACCCGCCACTCACCTGAGCGCCGAGCCTCCCTCCCACGTGACAGGCTGGCCTAGGAACTTCCGCCACAAGTCCCGCCCCTTCCTCCCAGCGTCCTTCGGATTACGCAGCCAGGACAGGAATGGGGGTGGACCGAGCCATGAATACCCGTGGAGAGCGGCCTAACTCGGCCACCCACTCTGTGAGAGACCCCTTTTCCAGCTGGACTGTGCCGGACCCTGGTGTGGGGCCCGCCAGCCATATTTCTCACCTAAGTTCGACCCTCTGCCTCCTCCTGCCCCTTCTCTCCGCGCGAGACCCGGGCCTCTCTCAATCCGGTAGTCTCATTGTTCAGCCCACCCTCCCCGCATAACTGGCCATAACTACGATCCTTGTCTCAGCAATCGTAGTTAGGGAACTATAAGTTATAGTTAAGTGCGTGTTTTGTCTCTAGGTTCTTCACTGGCCTCAACTGTGAGCTCATGAGTGGGTAAAACTGGGGTCGTTCATATTTGTCGTCCTCATAGCAACTATTTCAGTGCTTTGCCGCAAACAGCCACTTAAGAAATACTGCGTATGTATGATTCTTCCACAGAAAGCATTGGAATTAGAACCTCAGAAGACATTAGGTATTGGCTCCCAAACTAACGGGCTGTGCAGCCTTGGTCATGACTAGACTTGATGTTAAGGCTCTGCATCTGTAAAATGAGGGAGGTTACACTATTGACTTTCCAAACTCGGCTCCTCAGTTCTAGGGATTTTTCAGATGTTTGTGTGTGGGGATGAGAGGGGCAGCATTACTACAGCTGCTTCTCCAACTTTTTTTTCCAAGTATATACTTCTCAAAAGACCCATTTTTAACGGGGCCCACAACTGCATGTTTGAAAACCAGTAAGCTAGGTGATTTCTTAATCCCCTTCCAGCTCTAACATTCTAAGAGTCTGTGAATATAGAGCAATATCCTTTCTAGAGCGTTGGAAATGTCTACAATATCCCTGGCAATGGACTTGTCAGGCTGGCAGGCTTTACTTATCTCCAGGGAGCCCACACGTCAGGAGGCACACTCTTTCAGGCTCTCCACCTGCCCAGCTCCACCCCCAATTTACTCAATTCCTTTATGATTAAGGCAGGGAGACTCCTGCCACAAATCCTGGAGAAACAGAGTAAGGAAGCAAGAGAAGTCAATGTCACAAACATTTAACTAAAATGCTATTTGCAAAACAGCATGCTAGAGGAGTGAACTGACAAAAGTAAATGTAATAGGAGACCAAATGTGGTAGGCTGTAAAGTTATATTCTGAAGTTAGACTGAGTTCAAATCCCCAGCACCACCACTTACTAGTTATATGACCTTGACCTTTTACAGACAGCTTACCCTCTCCAACTCTTTTATCATTAAGTAAAATGGCAATACCTACCTCATACAAGTGACACATGCGAAGTGCCTAAAATGGATCAAGTGCTTAATGCTTGTTTATCCTTTTTCCTCCCTTCCCCCTTGGGAACACAAGGGAGGGAAACTATTTTTTACTGGAGAAAACTGGGAAGCTCTTTGGTGAAGGTGGAATTTGAGCCGGGACCTTGAAGGATGAATTGAACTCAGGTGAAGATGGTGGAAAAAGACACTCTGGCGAAGGGAGGAATATGAGAAGAGGAATAAAGGTAGAGAAGTGTATGAACAATGGATAGTATGAAGTGGGTATATTGGGAGGGAGGGTTAGAAAGAGAAAAGGCTTGTTAGAGAAAAAGAACAAGGTCAAGACTAGGGCTGAGACTCAGTTGCAGAAGCAGGGCTGCCAGCACCAATCTACAGCCTCAAGTGTGGATCCCCAGGTCTCATCTTTTCTACCACTGAAAATAGGAAGGGGGCTGCCCTGTAGAATTGAGTAAAGCTTCTCTTCGACAGAAGGCACTTGCGTAACAGCTCAAAAAACAAAACTGGCTCAATGTGAGCTGGATCCCAATAGGGTAGTGCAACACTTGGCTTCTTTGCACTGACATGGGTTGTGGTCTCTGCTGTTGATAGACTTGGGTTTCCTCCAGGTCTATTTTCTCATCTGTACAGGATAGGGGCTGAACTCTTTTTGAGACGGAGTCTCGCTCCGTCACCCAGGCTGGAGTGCAGTGGCAGGATCTCGGCTCACTGCAACCTCTGCATCCCAGGTTCAAATGATTCTTCTGCCTCAGCCTCCTGAGTAGCTGGGATTGCAGGTGTGTGCCATCACACCTGGCTAATTTTTTACATTTTTGGTAGAGACGGGGTTTCACCATACATTGGCCAGGCTGGTCTTGAACTTCTGACCTCAAGTAATCCGCCTGCCTTGGCCTCCCAAAGTGTTGGGATTACAGGCGTGAGCCACCACACCTGGCCAGGACTAAACTTCTTGATCGCTTCTTCTTAAAGGAGATTTTCTGACAGATGATAAAGTCCCTACACTACATATTCAGCCAGTCTAGAATGCCAGAGGGTTTTGTTCCAGGTAGGCACTGATCTCATCTCCACTCTCTCCAAAAAGCAGCTGCCTGTTTTTTTCTATTTCCTGAGGTCATCCAACTATTTCCCTCCAAACCCCAGCCTATACTCCTAGGCATTTCAAGACCATGGTTTGCCTATTTCTCATCACTGGGGTGTGTCCTTGCTTAGGAGGCAGTATCATAGTCACTGTGAGTCTGCAGCATCCCACAAGAGGACTCTAACAAGATGAGATATAACAATACATTACAGTACTTGGGTTCTAAACACCTCCTATACATAGAACTGAAGTAGGTAAACATTCTAATGAGTCAACAATGTGACAGTATCATGAAGGATCAAAAATCATGACGTGTAAAAGAATGGTTGAAGTAACTGAAGATATTTAATCTAGAGAAGATTTGGGAAACACATGATAGCTATGGTTAAATACTTAACAGGGCAATCACAGGGAAGATGACTAGATTTCCTAACATCCATGAGTGAAATTTATAGAAGTATACTCTCTGACTTGATATAAAGGAAGATTTTAAAAAACATGACTGTTCAGGAGTGTTCAAGTAGGGTCAGATGACCAGTGATTGGGAATACTTCGTAAGCAGGAGCAAGTAAGATCTGAGCCACTGTTCTATCGGTAGGGTGTCTGTGGTATTCCTTGGTCAAAGAAGTACTCTAAGCAACTTCAGTCTCACGAATTACTATCACCCTCGTGGGCATACATGATGGTTACCCTAAAGAGGAAGTTTCAGAAGGCAGTAATATTGGATCCTGGAATAGTCAGACAGGAGCCTTCATGCAGATACCCTTTTCAGTTCTCCATACACCCATTCACAAGTGGTCACAAAAACACCCAGTACCTTTACTTGGCTTTACCCACTTAACAATATGCTCAATATGAGCAGTTTGACTCCCAAGCCTAGGTCAGGCCTGAGTGTTTCTCATGAGCCATAGTCTTAGGCTGAGGAGCCTTGAGAGTTGGTGGAGGGAGAGCCCCCCTGCCCGCAGGGGGCTGTGATCACAGAAGTCTGTAGAAAGAGTGGGATCTAAGGAGTCCTGGGGAGGCAGGCCTAAAGGTCCAGGCCTGGCATGATCACTGTCCAGGGAAGGCCCCCAGTTCCTATGGCTCTGTGCATAGGGGCCATTTGTTCTTGACCGACTTCACTCCAAGGATCTGGTGTGGGCCAAGGCTAGGGAGTGGGCAGAAGGCGATGGCTGGTTGGAGAGAAGCCAGGCCGTCTAGTGGGGGAGGATGGTTGGAACATAGCATTGAAGTGGGCTCGGCTTTCAAGCTGCATACGGTGGCCCAGTGGGGAGGCGAGTCCACGGACAAAATGGATTCGAACCAGCCCTGACTGCCCCCCAGATACCAGCCATCCATAGGAGTCCAGGTTTGGGCTGAAACGTACCTGTGAAGAGAACAGAAAACAAGAGAGAGATGCTCATGGGTGGTGCTTTAGGGTGACTCCTAGCTGTATGAACAAAAAAAAAAAATGAGCCACAATCTGAAAGGACAGGACCATGAGGGGTGACAGAGGTAAGAATGAAAAGCCAGTGAATGAGGTACGTCTGTCATGCTCTGGAGGAGGAGGAGGTTGTCATCTGTGTAACCTTTTCATCTACCATTTCATCAGCCCCAGGCCCAGAACTGGGGGGAAATGAGAGTGGAGGGTGGAGAGGATGAGAGACTACCTTATGAATAGCCTCCAGCTGCAGCCTGTCCAGGCAGAGTTGAGAATGCCCCTCTCCCTCCTGCATGCGCAGCATTGGTTCTCTACGGAGCAGATCATGGAATGAACCCTGGGGAAGGGAAATGGAATAGGAGAGAGAAAGTGAGACGCTCGTTTGTTTTTTTTAAGACGGAGTCTCGCTCTGTCACCCAGGCTGGAGTGCAGTGGCGCGATCTTGGCAGCTCACTACAACCTGTGCTTCCCAGGTTCAAGTGATTCTCCGCCTCAGCCTCCTGAGTAGCTGGGATTACAGGCGCCCGCCGTCACGCCCGGCAGATTTTTTGTATTTTTAGTAGACAGGGTTTCACCATGTTGGTCAGGCTGGTCTTGAACTCCTGACCTCAGGTGATCCGCCCACCTCAGCCTCCCAAAGTGCTAGGATTACAGGTGTGAGCCACTACGCCTGGCCCTTTTTTTTTTTTTTTTTTTTTTGAGACGGAGTCTTGCTGCGTTGCCAGGCTGGAGTGCAGTGGTGTGACCTTGGCTCACTGCAATCTCCACCTCCTGGGTTCAAGTGATTCTCCTGCCTCAGCCTCCTGAATAGCTGGGACTACAGGCACGCGCCACCACGCCCAGCTAATTTTTGTATTTTTAGTAGAGACGGAGTTTCGCCATGTTGGCCAGGATGGTCTTGATCTCTTGACCTTGTGATCTGCCCGCCTAATCCCCCCAAACTGCTGGGATTACAGGCATGAGCCACTGCACCTGGCCGAGGCTCCTTAGTTTTACATCTTTGTGCTGAACTCAGGCTTGCGTACTATACAAAGACTAAAGTTTTCTACCTTTTCTAATACCACACCCATTCTCCTGGCCTCAGCTTACCAAATCTGTGTCTTGAAAGAGCAAGTAGTGATGGTTGACAGTTTCAGTGTAAGTTCGAGCCTTAGGAGGGTTGGGGACCCCAGATGAAGCAGAAGAATGGTCTGGACCTTCAGGACTGTCCTGATACGGTATCAGATCTGCTTTATATATAGGCTGGAAAGGAGACCATGAAATTAGGTTCTATAATACTCAAGACAGAATAAAAGCAGAGGAAAGTGGTTTGGGCAGGAAAGGCTTAAAGATGGAAAAAAGTAGTATCTTTAAATATATGCTCAGATGCAGTACGGTAGGGAAGATTATATACAACTCTGTGCTAAGATTTTCTGGGATATCAGGGCCGGGAGACCTGACACTAGTTTGTACTCTACCAGAATTTGGGAGGGCATGTGGGTTAGGATCCAACAGCTGCTGTTAGATGTTCGTATACGTACAAATCTTCGCTCTACAGGTCGCTTGACATTTATTGGATTCAGTGCCATATCTGGTAATATAGCAGCAATGAGCTCCCCGGATATATCTCCTGCAGCTATTGTCCCAAGCCAGTCGGATCCTGAAAGACTCTAATAGAAAGAGACAGATTTCATTCATTCATATATTCATTCAGAGCTATGAACTGGTAACAGCTGCACAGTCTGAGAGACAGACACACAAACAAAAATGAGTTTACCATAACCGACAGCCCTGATGATAGAGTTACAACATCCCTATCTTCTCCTTCTACCCAAAACTACTGCCTCTGACTACTAATAGTGCATAAATGAGCCATTTTCCTTTGTAATGAAGACTGCAAAAGAAAGGGGGGCTCACCCAAACGGTGCCTTTTCGAGGAGCAGTGAAGTAGGCCTTGAAACCAAGGTAACCAGCGTCAATATAATGAATCCCACAGAGTCCATAACTGTTAAAAGAGAAATAAATTTAAACCTTCCTTTTCTTTAGATTCATTTCTTCTTCTTAACCTCTTCCAGAATTTAAACCACCTCAGTGAACCAACTCTCTACCCTCCTCTCCCCACAACAATCTGGCATGCTTTGCATTCCAACCCTTAGGGCCTGTCCCTAGAGGTCCTATCTCCATCTTGCCGTACGAGGCATAGCAGTTGTCCTGAGCCACAGTGACACCATTGTAGGGAAGCAGCCAGGCCAGTTCTGTACTCAAGAAGCGCTTGATAGAGTTTATGGGTTCGTAAGGACGTCGAAGGTCCCAGAATTTGATTTTCCGGTCACTCCCCGCAGAGACAAGGAAATGGCTGTAAAAAGACGGGAGAAGGTCAAATCCAAACAAATCCGGAAGTCAGCCTGTCCCAGTCTTCACCTTCCCCCTCCACATACCTCCTATTCCATACCTGTTAGCTTTGCACCATTGAAGGGTACGCACAGCCTGGTCATGGGCTAGGAAACACTGGAAGGGGTAGAGCTTTAAGGAGCCATCAGAGAGCCGTATCCGCTGCAGGGGTGAGTTAGTGGGAAGGTTCCAGAAAACCACCATGCCTGAAATAAGGACAGAATGTGTGAGCATTAAAAGCAAGTTCTCTCTTCCTTGCTCTAATTTCTTTCTCTGGGCTCCTAGGACCTTTGTCTTCTACCCTCAGATCCAAACCACTATGAAAGGATGTGGGGATCCTGATTAGCTATCCAACACTCCCTCCAGGGCTTAAAGACTCAACCTGGTATTTTAACCCTAATTCTCATCAACAAAAAAGTAATAGCTTTGTCTGGAATCTACAGTTGAAAAATGATAGGGTGAACACACCTAGTGCAGAGAGTAGAATGCACCTCTCTCTACTCCCTATAAATAAACGTCAAGGGACTTTTAAAAAGCATAGGTGGGGCACACGGTGGCTCATGCCTGTAATCTCAACACTGTGGGAGGCCAATGCAGGTGGTGGATCACCTGAGGTCAGGAGTTTGAGACCAGCCTGATCAACATGGTGAAACCCCGTCTCTACTAAAAATACAAAAAATTGGCCAGATGTGGTGGTGGGTGTCTGTAATCCCAGCTACTCGGGAGGCTAAAGCAGCAGAATCGCTTGAACTCAGGAGGCGGAGCTTGCAGTGAGATTGTGCCACTGCACTCCAGCCTGAGTGACAAGAGCAGACTCCGTCTCAAAAAAAAAAAAAAAAAAGCATAAAAACTCTAGGAAGCCAGGCGCAGTGGCTCACACTTGTAATCTCAACACTTTGGGAGGCCAATGCGGGTGGATCACTTGAGGTCAGGAGTTCAAGACCAGCCTGGCCAACATGGTAAAACCCCCATCTCTACTAAAAATACAAAAAAAAATTAGCCAGTGTGGTGGTGTACACCTGTAATCCCAGCTACTTGGGAGGGTGAGACATGAGAATCACTTGAACCCAGGAAGCAGAGGTTGCAGTAAGCCGAGATCACGCCAGTGCACTCCAGCCTGGGAGACAGAACGAGACTCCACCTCAAAAAAAAAGAAAAAAAAAAGAAAATGTTCGCTAACTCTGCCCCAAGACAAAGAGAACAGGCAAAAAGTCAAAAGCAACACAATGTTGCTAGGTGCAATGGCTCATGCCTGTAATCCTAGCACTTTGGGAGGTAAAGGCAGGAAGAACACTTGCACCCAAGAGTTTGAGACCAGCCTGGGCAATATAGTGAGACCCCACCTCTAAAAAATAAAAAAAGGCCAGGCACGATGGCTCATGCCTGTAATCTCAGCACTTTAGGAGGCCAGGGTGGACATATCACCTGAGGTCCAGAGTTTGAGACCAGCCTGAACAATATGGTGAAATCTCATCTCTACTAAAAATACAAAAATTAGCTGGCCTTTGGTGGTATGCACCTGTAATCCCTGCTACTCAGGAGGCTGAGGTGGGAGAACTGCTTGAACTCGGGAGATAGAGGTTGCAGTGAGCCAAGATCATGCCACTGCACTCCAGCCTGGACCCCACAGACCCTGTCTCAAAAAAAATAAAATAGCCTGGTGTGGTGGCGCATGCCTGTAGTCTCAGCTACTCAGAAGGCTGAGCCACTCAGGGAATGAATGCAGCACCTATGAACCTTTCTTGAAAAAGTTTGTTGACGATGAATTATAGCCATGCAATATAAATAATTCAGCAATTGGAGGGGAGACTAAGATAAATGGACTGGTAGAGGCACTCAATCAAGTTTAGGAATTAAGAAAGCAGAACAGCATCGAGAATCATGTACCTTGACAATGTAAGAATAATACCACCAAAAGAAAAAACATGGCGAAAGGGATGATAAAAAGACGTGTAAGAGTGCTAATTTCCTTATCTTCCTAGCAGAAAGTCTACTTATATCTAAAAACAACACTGTCATTTTGTTTTTGAAACGGAGTCTCACTCTGTTGCCAGGCTGGAGTGCAGTGGCACGATCTTGGCTCACTGTAACATCTGCCTTCCAGTTCAAGCGATTCTCCTGCCTCAGCCTCCTGAGTAGCTGGGACTACAGGCACGCGCCATCCTGCCCAGCTAATTTTTGTATTTTTTAGTAGAGACAGGGTTTCACCATGTTGGCCAGGATGGTCTCGATCTCTTGACCTGGTGATCTGCCCGCCTCGGCCTTCCAAAGTGCTGGGATTACCGACATGAGCCACCACACTTGGCCAATAACACTGTCATTTAAAAATAACAATCTAGGCCAGGCATGGTAACTCTCATTTGTAATCCCAGCACTTTAGGAGGCTGAGGCAGGCAGATCACTTTGAGCTCAGGAGGTGAAGACCAGCCTGGGCAACATGGCGAAACCCCGTCTCTACAAAAAATACAAAAATTAGCCAGGCATTGTGGCTCGTTCCTGTAGTCCCAACTACTCCAGAGGCTGAGGCTGGGGCATTGCTTGAGCCCAGGAAGTCCAGGACGCAGTGAGCCAAGATCTTGCCACTGCACTCCAGCCTGGGTGACAGAGTGAGACCCTATCTGAAAATAAAACAAAACAAAACCTAATAACTCCAACTACTTAATATTATTTGTAACTTATTTATAGTCTTTTTAATTCTAAAAGTATCTTGGAGGAACTAGTGTCGCTTATAGTGAAGGAACATTCATCAGGAGCTTAGCCAATATTTCAGTGTGACTTTAGTGTCTTTTTCTTCTATAAAATTAAGATATAATTAAATTTAATACATTTTTAGAATACTTTACACAGTATGATCCCATTTATTTAGTTAGTTAGCTAGTTAGTTAAAGATGGGGTTTCACCATGTGGCCCAGTCTCCAACTCCTGGGCTGCGATCCTCCTGCCTCAGCCTCCCAAAGTGCTGGGATTACAGGTGTGAGCCACCATGCCTGGCTGATCCCATTTTTATAAAACTCTTTCCTCTAATCTTTCTATTTTTATCTATAAAGAACTGCATGAAATGATGTTCCTCACTTTTTAATTTTTTAAAAATTTTATTATTTTTAGTTTTTTTTTTGAGACAGAGTCTCGCTCTGTCCTCCAGGCTAGAGTACAGTGGCACCATCTCGGCTCACTGCAAACTCCGCCTCCCGGGTTCACGCCATTCTCCTGACCCAGCCTCCCGGGTAGCTGGGACTACAGGAGCCCGCCACCACGCCCGGGGAATTTTTTGTATTTTTAGTAGAGATGGGGTTTCACCGTGTTAGCCAGGATGGTCTCGATATCCTGACCTCGTGATCTGCCTGCCTCGGCCTCCCAGAGTGCTGGGATTACAGGCGTGAGCCACCGTGCCCGGCCTAAAAATTTTATTATTTTTTTGAGATGGAGTCTCCCTCTGTTGCCAGGCTGGAGTGCAGTGGCATGATCTTGGCTCACTGCAACCTCCGTCTCCCAGCTTCAAGCGATTCTCCTGCCTCAGCCTCCCCAGTAGTTGGGACTACAGGTGCAATCTATGACACCCAGCTAATTTTTGTATTTTTAGTAGAGACAGGCTTTCACCATGTTGGCCAGGATGGTCTCCATCTCTTGACCTCATGATCCACCTGCCTCAGCCTCCCAAAGTGCTGGGATTACAGGTGTGAGCCACTGCACCCGGCAAAATTTTATTATTTTTAATGATGAGGTCTCACTAGGTTGCCCAGCTGGTCTTGAACTCCCAGCCTCAAGTGATTCCCTCCCATCTTGGCCACCCAAAGTACTGGAATTATAGGCATGAGCCACCACACCTGGCCGGCATCTACTCTTTTTTTTTTTTTTTTTTTTTCCAGACAGGATCTCACTGTTGCCCAGGCTGGAGTGCAGGGGTGTGATCTTGGCTCACTGAAACCTATGCTTCCTGGGTTCTCAGGCCTCAGCCTCCCAAGTAGCTAGGACTCCAGGCATGTGCCACCATCCTGAGCTAATTTTTTGTATTTTTTTGGTAGAGATAGGGTTTCGCTGTATTGGCCAGGCTGGTCTTGAACTCCTGACCTCAAGAGATCTGCCTGCCTCAGCCTCTCAATAGGATGGGATTATAGGCGTGAGCTACCGCGCCTGGCCCAGCATCTATGTACTCTTAATTTTTTTCTGAGTAGAAATAGTCTAGTGACTTATTTCTTTCTATTTTTTTTTTTTTACATTGCTTGAATATTTCTAACTATATGTCCAGTATTGAACCACCAAAGAAAGAACCAAAAAACAAGCATATATAAAAAATTTAAAGAGCAATAGTTCCTTATGTTTTATTTTGGTTTTTTTACCATTATAATATCCAGCAGCTAGGTGTTGGTGGGGCCTGGTAGGCATCCAG
Organism: Homo sapiens; assembly: GCF_000001405.40. Lineage (NCBI taxonomy): Eukaryota > Metazoa > Chordata > Mammalia > Primates > Hominidae > Homo > Homo sapiens. The sequence goes on from NC_000002.12 coordinate 27,333,705, forward strand.
GCCAGGCTAAGGCACTGACCACACTCAGAGGGGTCTGTAGCTTGCATAGACCCCACCTGCAGAGTTGCCACACATTGTACCTGCAGGGAAAGAAGAGATGGGACTAGGGTTAGGGACACCTACACTGTTTGGAACGAAAGCTCAAATCAGTGCTTAATCCAGCAGGATGAGGGTATTTTTCAGAAGTATAAGGAGACTCACTGTGGAATCAGCAAGGTGAGGCTCTAAGAAGATGGAGCCTCAGCTAAGGTAGCAGGTTCCTCACTCACCTTATATATGGCAGGCTTCACTGCATCTGTGAGGAAAAAGAGCAGGAACTAACTCTATGGATCCCAAGGACTCAGCAGGTCTTACTCTGTCACCCAGGCCCGAGTGCAGTGGCATGATCATGGCTCACTGCAGCCTCCAACTCCTGGGCTCAAGCAATCCTCCTGCCTCAGCCTCCCAAAATGCTGGGATTATAAGTGTGAGCCACCATGCCTAGCCAGGCCTTGCCTTTTTTTTTTTTTCCTTTAGACCTCCTCTGTGGACACAGGCCTTCTCTTAAATCAGCAACCAATCCTTTGAATAATGACATTCCCTTATCCTTTATTGAGAAAGTCCTTATCTTTTCATCACCAAATTTATGAACCTACCTCTATCTGTTCCCATCTTCTTTCCTTCTGTTACACCTGATAGTATCCTTCCTCCTATCAGAAGAGCAATCCCTTCACTCTACTCTCTTCTCATCCTCTAGCACCTTTTCCAGAACACTGCTCATTCTGTTATCCTCCTTCCTCCTGTGTCATCCACTTGTTCCCTCCCTAGTCTAGGTCACTCCCATATTGCTATGTGAACATGCCCTAATGTCTCCTATCCAAATAAAGGGACAAAACCTTCCTTTATTGACCACACTTAGGCAATCCACCACCCTCAATTACTGGTTCCCCTTCACAGCGAAATTTTTTTTTTTTTTTCAGACAGCATCTCACTAAGCCGCCCAGGCTACAGTGCAGTGGCACAATCTCAGTTCACTGCAGCCTCAACCTCCTGGGCATAAGTGATCCTCCCACCTCAGCCTCCCAAGTAGCTGGGATTACAGGCATGCACCACTATGTTCGGCTACTTTTAAAAATTTTTTTGTCGAGACGACATCTCATTATATTGCCCCAGCTGGTCTCAAACTCCTAGGCTCAAGCAATCCTCCCACCTAGGCCTCGCAAAGTACTGGAATTAAGGCATGGACCACCATGCCCAGCCCCACAGCCAAACTTCTTGAAAGAATGGTCTATATTTACTATCTTTACTTTCTGACCTTCTATTACCTCCTCAACCCACTCCACCAGACCACCACATATGGGACTTCCCAGGGCTCCAGCCTGGGTGCCCTCTTCTTTAAATACTCAGTACTAATGAAAAATAAATTCAACATATAGGAGCTGCCTTTTCCTGACTCCTCCCTCCTTTTGCTCATCTTCAGCTCTCTATTCCATCCCTCTCTTCAGCAGAACAAGAGATTGTGTTTGTGTGGTGGTGAGGGCAGGAGAGGCTAAGAACAGGATTGGGGGAACAAGAGTATAGCAGGGGAGATGGGCCCTATCTATCAGCCCAAGCCCTCAGCAGCTCTTTACACAGCCAGTTACCTGTGGCAGCAAGAGGGGGAAAGTCTTGAGAGCACAGAAGAGGGAAGAAGGGGGAGATAAAAGGAAATGTGCTGAAAGAGTACAGCTGTAAGACTGCAAAAGAGAGAGGGCTCAAGAACAAACCTGAGTCACAATGCAGGGTGTGTGTGTGGCTGAGTAAGGCTTTGTGCTAAGAGAGACTGGCCCAGAGGAGTTTCCAGGGAGACAGACAGGCCCTGCTATGCTGTGACCACCACTACAGCAGCCCCATTCTCCTTGCTGTGCTACTCACCTGGGGGTTGCTGAGCCAGCAGGGCCTCCGGATGGGGTAGACTGAATAGCAGTACTTTCCCGTCTGAGCAGGCCAGAGCCAAGAGACCCAACCGGGGCAGGAGAGGAGCCTAAAGGGTAAAAGGTATGCTGAGGCTTGCTGCCTTCAGCTGACTCACAGAAAACCTTTGAGGTTCTAGTCCCTGAAATACTGTATGAAGTTGCTGGAAAAACTCCATCCACTACACTCCAACCTTCGTTCCTTCAACTCTAAGAATTCCCAGGGCCTCTTTGTCCTGGCTTTGAGTCCTAGGGCCATCCCACAGTTGACTGGGAAGTACCTTCCGAGGGGTGCCTGGAAGTTCCCATGCTCCACTGGGGCAGAACTTGAGGTCCCAGATGCAGCCGTTGTCACAAGCAATCCCATAGACAAAGTGGGCCCTGTTGCCAGGACTGGAGAGAGAGAGCATGTGGGGATGGTGGGTAGGAAGAAGGGACGCAGGGCTGCCAGAGGTAAGCTCCCCTTGTCTCAGCCCAATCCAAGCCCTTCCCCCTATCCTGTCCAGACCCCATCCTGCTGTCCTCAACCACCCTCCCATGGCAGTGTCCAACCCCACCTCACCAGCTTTCTTGCTGCAAGGTCCCAAGGCCCCAGAGCTGGAGCAGCCCAGGACCCGAATGAAGCTGGCTCAGTGGGTGTGTCTCATTCATGTCAGGGCTGGAGAAAAGAGCCACATATTGCGAGGCTCCTGCCCCCTCTGGCACTGGGCACCAGTCCAGAGCCCAGAGCGGTCCCCCCGTGAAGAAGGACACATCCCAGCGCTCTGGATGTGCTGTGATCGAGCTAAATCTAGAGAAAAATCAAAGATGGGATGAAGAAAGGAATTAATGAAAGGTAATGAGGACTGAATGGGCGCTCCACCCAGAGCCAGTATGAACTGGCTCAAGCAAGAGCCTGAATATCAAAAACAGTTTACAAGTGAGAACAGAGTCCTTGGCTTCCACTTGTATCTTCCTCCTTTCCTTCCCAAAGTCTGTCTTATATTATTATTATTTGAGATGGGGTCTGTCACCCAGGATGGAGTGCAGTGGCATGATCGACGGTTCACTGCAGCCGTGACCTCCCAGGCTCAAGTGGTTATCCCACCTCAGCCTCTGGAGTAGCTGGGACTACAGGCATATGCCACCATACCCCACTAATTTTTAAATTCTTTGTAGAGATAGGGGTCTTGCTATGTTTCCTAGGCTGGTCTTGAACTCGTGGGCTCAAGTAATCCTCCCTTTTTGGCCTCCCAAAGTGCTGAGATTACAGGTGTGAGCCACCACACCCGGCCTCCAAAGTCTGTCTAACTCCAGCTCATCTTCAGGGCTGTTCATTCTGGCATACTATAGTAGTCTCCCTAAGGCTAGTCTGTCCAGGTCTATCTGAGTAGATGTAACCTTGTGAACTGCTTTGGCCCCTAAATCTCTCTAGCTTCCCTCAGCCTGCCAGTAATGAACACTACAAATCAGAGAGGACTGACCAGCTCTAGTCAGCACTCTTATTCTTGGGACCAACTGAACCAGCATCAGGGGAAGGACAGGACTTATCTGTCATCTCTTTCAACATTCATTTTTCTTGTTTCTGGCTCCTAGAATCAGAAAAAAGGGCGGATGTGCAATCTTCACCTGTTTATTCGGTAGAGGGTGCCATCTTCAGGTAGCCCTTCACGTTGTACAGAAAACAATGGAGACTTCTCCTCCTGGGGCAGGTAGGGAGCGGCCTCACTGGGGGAAGACAAAGGGAACAGTCTAAATTTGGAAGTGTTTCACCCATCTCAGGGTTCCCATTATAGAGCCTCTGTCACCCTTTCGTCTCCAGTGGTGTCACCCTTCCTAAGCTACAGAGATGTTGCTTCAACTTACAGCTCAGATAACAAGTGCCACTTCCAGGCTAAAGGAATCCACTCAGCAAACTCCCAGTATGAATGTTTCTGCTCTCGGCTGGAGAAACAGAAGAAGCATTAATGAAGGAGAGGGATTCTACAGCCGCACAGTCCAATAAAACTTTCTGTGGGGATGGAAATGATCCATTATCTGTGCTCCCCAATATGCCAGTTGCTAGCTCCAATTAGCTACCAAGCACCTAAAATGTGGCTAGCGCAGCTGAGAAACAGAGCCTTTCATTTTATTTCACTTTAATTAAAGAGTTCTAGAGCTCTTGCCTCTAGAGCAGTGCTTTTTAGTAATGAATGTCATCACGGTATTCCACCCATGAGTGCTTCTCTTTCCCACGGCCCCACTTCAATACCGCCCTTGCACTCCTCTACCACCCCTTTATTAACCCCAGCCCCCTGTCCCCAAGTCTCACAAGTCCTTGGTGAGATGGAGGCACTTCCAAACAGGAGCCATGATATGATTTGGTAAGCCATTGGGAGCCATTCCTCGGCAGTGTGGTTTCTGTTTCTGAGGATCAAATTGAAGAAAATATAAGGGAGCAAATTCTACAGGTTGGACAAAGTCCCAGAGACAGCTCTTTCCCAGTTTTTATCTTCTTTGGCAATACCTCCCCCTCCAATCACTGCCCTATCAGCATCTTAAAAGATTTGTGTTTCAACCACTATAATGACTTCTTCACCTTCTGCTCTACTCCTCCATCGAAAATGCAAAATCTGTTACCTATTTTCTGTTCAGCTTCCTCAACATCTCCATGGTATTTGATTCACAGGATTCCCTTATGCCTCTTTGAAACTCCCGCCCTATGGAATAGTCTCCCTTACTCCTCTCCCCTCTCTTAATATTCCTTCACAGGTTCTCCCTTCTTGACAGGTCTCCTCGATGATGGTATTCCCCAGAGTTCCTGTCGTCTTCTCGCCCCTCTACACAGGCGCGCACGCGCACGCGCGCACACACACACACACACACACACTCCTGGTAATCTCATCTCATGTCCCATGGCTTTGACTACTGTCTTTTTGTTTTTTTGTTGTTTTTGAGATAGGGTCTCACTCTGTTGCCCAGGCTGGAGTGCAGTGGCGCAATCTTGGCTCACTGCAGCCCCAGCTTCTGCCTCCTGGGCTCAAGCAATCCTCTCACCTCTGCCTCCTGAGTAGCTGGGACTACAGGCACACCCCACTACACCTGGCTAATTTTTTTGTATTTTTTTGTAGAGACAAGGTTTCGCCATGGCCCAGACTGGTTTTGAACTCCTGGGCTCAAGCGATCCCTCCCCCTCGGCCTCCCAAAGTGCTGGGATTACAGGTGTGAGCCACCACACCTGGCCTTCTTTAAAATTTAGAGACAGGGTCTTGCTGTGTTGCCCATGCCAGACTTGAACTCCTGGGCTCAAGCAATCCTCTTGCCTCAGCCTCCTGAGTAGCTTGAAGTACAAATGCATACCACCAAACCCAGCTTGACTACCATCTTTATGCCTGATTATCAAGTTTACATTTCCGTCATGTAAACCTGACTCAGTCTCAACTTCTCTACAAGTTCTAGACAGTGTTGTGGCAAGCCATATTAGAGCATGAGGCAAATGGAAAAAAACAGTAATCAGTTGAAAAAATCAGTAAAGCCGGGCATGGTGGCTCATGCCTGTAATCCCAGCACTTTGGGAGGCCGAGGCGGGCGGATCACGAGGTCAGGAGTTCGAGACCAGCCTAACCAACACGGTGAAACCCCATCTCTACTAAAAATACAAAAATTAGCTGGGTGTGGTGGTGTGCACCCGTAATCTCAGCTACTTGGGAGGCTGAGGCGGGAGCATTGCTTGAACCCGGGAGGGGTGGAGGTTGTGGTGAGCTGAGATCATGCCATTGCACTCCAGCCTGGGCAATAAGAGCGAAACTCCGTCTCAAAAAAAAAAAAAAAAAAGAAAAAAAAAATCAGTAAAGATCCTGTCTTTATTTAAAATTTTGATATTTTGTTCATCATGGAACGAAATATCCATGATTTGTTGCATTGATTTTTTTAAATGTTGCATCAAAATAGCATTTATCTCAATTACTGAGGGTTTCTGTTATCCCTTAGATGTTGCACGTGAGGCAAGTAAGGCACTGGTCTCATATATGCAACTGGTGACCAGACATCTCCAGCAGAATGACCCATGGCCCATGGGCACCTCAAACTCAACATGTCAGAAAGTGAATTCTGTCAGGTGTGGTGGCTCACATCTGTAATCCCAGCACTTTGGGAGACCAAGGCGGGCAGATCACTTGAGGTCAAGAATTCAAGACCAGCCTGGCCAACATGGTGAAACCCCATCTCTACTAAAAATACAAAAGTTAGCTGAGCGTGGTGGGGCGTGCCTTTAATCCCAGCTACTTGGGAAGCCGAGGCAGGAGAATCACTTGAACCCAGGAGGCAGAGGTTGCAGTGAGATGAGATCACTCCACTGCACTCCAGCCTGGGTGACAGAGCAAGACTCTGTTTCAAAAAAAAAAAAAAAAAAAAAGGGAAAAAAGAAAGTGAATTCAACTTCTCCCCTCCCCACCTTTGCCCCTCCCACATCCCTCACCCTTTTCGTGTTCCCAGGTTCAGTGCATGATGCCACCATTTAAGCTGGAAACTGCTATTCAACTTCCTCCCTCCCTTCAATTCCCAAATACTGTTAATTCTCTTACATATTCCATTATGTGAGAGAACACAGAAACAAAAGAATTACAAAAATAAAAATAAAAAATTACCTTACATATCTCTTCTTTTTTTAAAGACAGAGTCTGGCTGGAGTGCAATAACGCGATCTCAGCTCACTGCAACCTCTGCCTCCTGGGTTCAAGTGATTCTCCTGCCTCAGCCTCCCGAGTAGCTGGGACTACAGGTGTATGCCACCACACCCAGCTAATTATTTTTGTATTTCTAGTAGACACAGGGTTTCACTATGTTGGCCAAGCTGGTCTCAAACCCCTGGCCTCAAGTGATCCACCTGCCTTGGCTTCCCAAAGTGCTGAGATTACAGGTGTGAGCTACCGCACCTGGCCTCTTACATATCTCTTGAATCTGCCCCCTCCCTGCTCTTCTCTTCCTTCACTGCTTGATTTAGGACCTATCTCTTACCTGGATAACTGAAACTGTCTTTTTTTTTTTTGAGACAGTTTCACACTGTCACCCAGGCTGGAATGCAATGGTGCAATCTCAGCTCACTGCAACCTCCGCCTACTGGGTTCAAGCGAGTCTCCTGCCTCAGCCTCCTGAGTAGCTGGGATTACAGGCGTGCGCCACCACATCCAGCTAATTTTTTTTTTTTTTATTTTTAGTAGAGACGGTGTTTCACTATGTTGGCCAGGCTGGTCTCGAACTCTTGACCTTGTGATCCACCCACCTTGGCCTCCCAAAGTGCTGGGATTACAGGCGTGAGCCACCGCATCTGGCAAAGCTGTCTTCTGTCAACTATAGTTTGACCTATTTTCCCAACTGATGTTATTTTTCTACTTAAAAATGTTTGTTGTACAGTTTGTGTACAACTGAATTGTGTGTTTTGTTTTGTTTTGTTTTGTTTTTGAGATGGAGTCTCACTGTCTCACCCAGGCTGGAGTGCAGTGGCATGATCTCAGCTCACTGCAACCTCTCCCTGCCTGGTTTAAGTGATTCTCCTGTCTCAGCCTCCCAAGTAGCTGGGACTACAGGTGCGTGCCACCATGCCTGGCTAATTTTTGTATTTTTAGGAGAGACGGGGTTTCACTATATTGGTCAGTCTGGTCTCAAACTCCTGACCTCGGGTGATCCACCTGCCTTGGCCTCCCAAAGTGCTGGGATTACAGGCATAAGCCACCACGCCCAGCCTCAATTGTGTATTTTTAAATGGTTAAAATGGCAAATTTTATGTTATATACATTTTACCACCAAAAAAAACCATAAACAAAAACAGCCTTTGTTGGTTCCTATAGGTCTATGTCCTTTCATATTCTCCAGTTTAATCTCGCCTACAACTTTACTCCAGGCTCTATGCTCCAGCCATAATCAATTTATGGGAAAACCATCCTCTCTGGCAAACTTCTACTTATCCTTCAAGAAGCAATTCAACTATCATTCCTCTGTGAAGCCTAGGCAGTTAATTACCCTTTCCTTTATATGCCTAAATCATTTTGTTCACTCCTGGGGTAGTGCTGATTGCACTGTGAACTTGTGAGGCAGGATACACTGTCTTATTTACGTTTGTTGTGTTTCCTAACAGAGAACAGATACTCAATATATGAATGAATAATCTTGTTTACCATACCCCTTCTTCTGCGCTCTCCCTAATATGCCAAATGTTTTGGAAATGGACCCTTTTTTCTTTAACCTGTTTTGTCTATTATAGTTACCAGGTCAAAGCTGTCCTTCCTTTCTCAGTACCTTGCTGGTCCCCTAAAATCCTACTATGTCCCCATTCACTTTCTTGTCCATTGAGGTTACCCCTGAAGTAGATCCTCGTGGGGTGCTTCGGGGCACTACAGGCTCAGGTTCAGATGAGCTCTCACTTGGGCCCTCACTTTCTTCCACATCTTCAGCCTCAACCTGGAGAAAAAAGTCTTCATCCCGTGGAGCACCATCCACCTCTTCTCCACCTGGACAGGCTGCTGGCTGCCGGATCTTCTTCGGTTTGGTGGGGCTGCTCACCTTGGGGCCCTCAGGACAGGACACAGGGGCAGGCAGGGCTGTTGAGAGCTCTTCAGCCAGTTCCTGAAGATACAGAAGTGCCCTGTGGGAACGGACAGAGTCAGAGCCATTCTCACATATGACTGAGAACCCACGTTTCCAGACATGGTTGATTTTTATCTCAATGGAGCCTCCCAATAACCCCATGATTAACCAATTAACTCTATTAATTTCCCCTTCCCCCTTGGAAGATGAAAAACCAGAAATCTAAGTTATGTGACTTGGCCGAGATGACTGAGATAACAAATGTGGAATCTGAACCCAGGTCTTCTCACTCCAAGTTCAATACATTTTTCATCCTACCACAGTCAAAGAACACAGAGGGCAAGAGAAAGAATGGAACAGAATATATATACTGACATATACTGGACAGTAAAACAATAAAGAGCTGGGTAAAGTTTGTGAAAAATGGCATAGGACATAAAGTACAGACAATAATTCTTAGATAAACCAAGTTAGCAATACATACCATTAATAGTGCTGCGGTAAGAGCCTAAAGGACTGCTCAAGTCCCTAGAATCCAGACACCACCCCTGCTTACCTAATACCTCATCAGTCTTCTCTCTCCAACATCTGCCCCACCCTGATCCCTTCACCCAACCCCCCTCCACCAAGCTATGCCCCACAATCCTTACACTTGGGCAGCCCTTCGGCGGGGTCGTTCCCCAGAAGGGGTCTCAAAGTCCTCAGGGGGCCTCTTTGGAGATTGAGATTCTGGCCGATCTAGGTCTTTTGACAACTTCAGCAGCAGCAGCTCTGCCTTGGACTTTCGACCTCGTTTCTTAGGCATGGGGGTGGACAGAGGGTTGGATTGATCTAAGAGACCAGGAACCAGTGGGGCTGATGGAGGATTAGGCTGTTGGGGCCTTTTGGGGCCTTTTCGTGTCCTACCACCTCTCTTCCGGCCAGGCTTTGAGGCCCTAGGCTTTGAGACCTTTGACATCTCTGAAGAAAGATCTGTGGAGAAGAATATGGGTCTGTGAGATGGGACCAGAACTCAAACCTCTATGGAAAAGATTACACTGTACCCAGGTTTGTAAGATCCTATGAGCTCAATCTGCTCTTTCATCTTAAGCTTGGCATGGGGAATAAAAAGATAAGAGGACAAGGTACATACCTGGCTGTTCCAGTCTGGAGAGGCTTTCCTGCTCTGGAGGGAGCCTCCTCTGATCAGGAGAATCCTCAAATCCAGGCAAAGGGGTAGGTAATGACATCTCTACGGAAGCCTCTGCACTGGTCATTTCTGAAGAGGTCTTGACATCAAGCTGATTTAGCACCTCTTGTCCAGGAGAGTCTACCACAGTCATGTTCCCCACGGGGCCGGCCTCCCCCAGGGCAACATAGCCGACCCCGCAGGTATCCATCAGCACCCCCCAAAATGGCTGCCCCTGCATACAGAGACACACAAATGAGTAGAGGACAAAAACTATTTGTACTAGCTCAGATTTTTATTTCCCCATCTTTTCTCCCTCATTCTCACACTCATAACCAAGTTCCCTGATTATTCACTTATTCAACAATATTTACTAAGCACCTTCTATATGTCAGGACTGTTCTGGAAACTGGTAATATGAGCCAGGTGCGGTGGCTCACACCTGTAATCCCAGCACTTAGGGAGGCTGAGGCAGGAAGGCAGCTTGAGCTTAGGAGTTTGAGGCTAGCCTGGGCAACACAGCAAGACCCCTTCTCTAGCAAAATAAAATAAAATAAAAAAATTAAAAACAAAAAAGGAAACTGGTGATATGACAATAAACAAGACAGACAAGGTCCCTGCCCTCATGGAACTTACATTTTGGTGAAGCAGACAATAAACAAGTAAACAAATAAAGCTTCCATTTTTTTTTTTTTTTAAAGACGGAGTTTCACTCTCGTTGCCCAGGCTGGAGTGTAATGGGGCAATCTCAGCTCACTACAACCTCCACCTCCTGGGTTCAAGCAATTCTCCTGCCTCAGCCTCCTGAGTAGCTGGGATCAAGGTGCGCACCACCACGCCCAGCTAATTTTTGTATTTTTAATAGAGATGAGGTTTCACCATGTGGGCCAGGCTGGTCTCAAACTCCTGACTTCAGGTGATCCACCCGCCTCAACCTCCCAAAGTGCTGGGATTACAGATAATGAGTCACTGCGCCTGGCCATAAAGCTTCCATTTATTAAATGCTAACTATGTGCCAAGCACTATACTAAGTGCTATACATACATTATCTAATTTAAAGCTCATATATTTTCTTGTAAGGATGAAGCAGTGAATGCACAATTATTTAACCTCTGTCTCTGAAACCCAATGAAATAAAACACACACACACAGACATACACACACTCCAAAAAAGAAGAGAGAGAAAAATTTGTCTAGCATGAATCTAGGAAAGGGACACCAACTTCCTCAAAATATACTACAAAAAAGAGCTGCCAGATACTACAAAATTTAGACCAAAGTGAAGAGGCATACTTAATGTTAACATCTCTTTCTGTAAAGATTAGTCAAGGAATAAGTTTATTTAAGAATAAGTAAAAGGCCAGGCAGGATGGCTCATGCCTGTAATTCCAACACTTTGAGAGGCCAAGGAAGAAGGACTGCTTGAGGCCAGGAGTTCAAGACCAGTCTGGGCAACATAGGGAGACCTCATCTCTACAAAAAATTTTAAAAGTTAGCCGGGCATGGTGGTGCGCACCTGTAGTCCCAGCTACTTGGAAGGCTGAGACAGGAGGATTGCTTGAGCCTAGGAGTTCGAGGTTACAGTGAGCTATGATGGTGTTACCATACTCCAGCCTGGGTATGGTATTTTAAATAAAAACATTTAAAAATAATTTTCTGGCCAGGCACGATAGCTCATGCCTGTAATTCCAGCACTTTGAGAGGACAAGGCAGAAGGATGGCTTGAGTCCAGGAATTCAAGACCATCCTGGGCAACAGAGTGAGACTCCTTTGCTACAAAAAAACATGGTGGTGCACACCTGTAGTCTCAGCTACTTGGGAGGCTGAAGACTTGGGAGGCTCCTTGAGCCCAGGAGGTCGAGGCTGCAGTGAGCTGTAATCACACCACTGCACTCCAGCCTGGGCAACAAAGCAACACCGTCTCAAGTAAATAAATAAATGAATTTATTTTTTAAAAAGAATGAGTTGGCCAGGCACGGTGGCTCACACCTGTAATCCCAGCACTTTGAAAGGCTGAGGCAGGCGTATTGCCTGAGGTCAGGAGTTCGAGACCAGCCTGGCCAACATGGTGAAACCCCATCTCCACTAAAAATACAAAAATTAGCTGGGCATGGTGGCAGGCGCCTGTAATCCCAGCTACTCAGGAGGCGGAGGCAAGAGAATCAATTGAACCCGTGGGGTGGAGGTTGCAGCGAGCCGAGATCATGCCACCGTACTCCAGCCTGGGTGACAGAGTGAGACTCTGTCTTTAAAAAAAAGAATGAGTCAAAGAGTTCTCTGGTGCCCTGCTATCAATATTTCACCTGGATGGGGGTGGTGGGTAGACTATGGGACAATTAAGGAACATCCTATTATGTTAAGAAAGCTTTTCCTTTTTTTTTTTTTTTGAGATGGAGTTTCACTATCGTTGCCCAGGCTGGAGTGCAGTGGCGTGATGTCGGCTCACTGCAACCTCTGCCTCCCAGGTTCAAGCAATTCTCCTGCCTCGGCCTTCCGAGTAGCTGGGACAACAGGTGCCCGCCACCACACCCAGCTAAATTTTTGTATTTTTAGTAGAGATGGGGTTTCACCATGTTGACCAGGCTGGTCTTGGACTCCTGACCTCAGGTGATCTGCCCACCTTGGCCCCGCAAAGTGCTAGGATTACAGACTTGAGCCACTGTGCCCCGCCACTTTTTTTTTTTTTTTTTTTTTTGAGACACGCTCTTGTTCTATCACCCAGACTGGAGTGGTGCAGTGGTGTGATCACAGCTCACTGCAGCCTTGTCCTCCAGAGCTCAAGCAATCCTCCTGCCTCAGCCTCCCAAGTAGCTAGGACTATAGGCATGTATCACCATGCCTGGCTAATTTTTAAATTTTTTGTAGAGATGAGGTCTCACTACGTTGCCCAGGATGGTCTTGAATTCCTGGGCTCAAGCAATCTTTCCACCTCGGTCTCCCAAAATGTTGGGATTATAGGTGTTAGCCACCGTGCCCATTCTGATACCTTTTTTTTTTTTTTTTTTTTTTTTTTTTTTTTTTTTTTTGAGACAGAGTCTCATTCTGTAACCCAGGCTGGAGTGCAATGGTGCAATCACAGCTCACTGCAGCCTGGACCTCCCAGGCTCAAGTGATCCTCCCACCTCAGCCGCCTGAGTAGTTGGGACTACAGGCATGCACCACCATGCCTGACTAATTTTTGTATTTTTTGTAGAGACTAAGTTTCACCATGTTGCCCAGGCTGGAGTGCAGTGGCGTGATTACATACTCAAACTCCTGGACTCAAGCAATTCTCTCAACTTCGTCTCCCAAAATGCTGGGATTACAGGCATAAACCACTATGCCTTGCCTTTTTTAATTTTTAAAAATTAAAAAAAATTTTTTTTTTCTGAGTCAGGATCTCGCTCTGTCACCCAGACTAGAATGTGGTGGTGTGATCACAGCTCACTGCAGCCACTAACTCCTGGGTTCAAACAGTCCTCCCTCCCCAGCTTCCCAAATAGCCAAGACTTCAAATGTGCACCAATACGCCCAGATACGTTTTTAATTTTTTTGTGCAGATTGGGTCTTGCTATTTTGCCCAGGCTTGTCTTGAATTCCTAACCTCAAGAGATCCTCCCACCTTGGCCTCCCAAAGTGCTGGGATTACAGGTGTAAGCCACCATGTCTGGCCAAGAAACCTTTCCACATTGAAGAATTGACTAAATTGTCATGAGTCTTCATTTTCTTCAAACCCCAAAAAATTAGTTGTATAACCATGGGCCAAAGTAAACTAAGATAAATCACTGACCACCAAACCCGAAACCTAAGCAACACAGAACTCTCCAAGGGTCCAGTTTTTGGCCAGAATAACCTGCCTGTCTGTGACAAAGGGGCAGACATAGTTCAAATCCCAGGATGGGACCCCGCCCCCCACAGATCTATATATACGCCTTAAGAATAAACAATTCATCAGTCTCAGTGGAAAAGTGTGCTTATACAAATCCCATAAGAAATATAAAATAAAAGCTTCCAACTGTCTCACTTGAAGAAGCTACAGTCTAACCAGATTATAAACTATAGCAATGGCCAACCCTCTGAGGCAGGTGCTGAGGATACAAGAAAACACATGTGCTAAAGATACATTATAACACTGCCAAGGTAAATAAAGGTCAGTGAAAATCCATCTATATTATTCCTGTGATAAATAAGAAGCCCTGACAGAACTACCCCATTCAAAATTAGTCACAAGCCAAAAGGACCTATGCATATACCGAAAGAAAAGGATAGAAAGATGAAGAGTACCCTTTTGAAGAAGTGATTCAGAAAACAGAAGGAAATTTCCAACAAAAAATTCCTGCACTTTCAAAAACATCAAATGGATTGTGAAATCCAAGAGCTAGGGTTTGAACATCCCCTCCAAAACTCATGTTGAAATTTAATTCCCATTTGTAACAGTATTAAGAGGTGGGATCTTTAAGAGATGATTAGGCCACAAGGGCTCCACCCTGACCAGTCAGATCAGTGTCATTATAAAAGGGTGAGTTTAGGGCAGGACCCAGTGGCTCATGCCTGTAATCCCTGCACTTAGGGAGGCAGAGGTGGGAGGATCCCTTGAGCCCAGGAGTTTGAGACCAGCCTGGGCAACATGGCAAAACCCTGTCTCTACAGAAAAATACCAAAACAGGGCCAGGTGCAGTGGCTCACGCCTGTAATCCCAGCACTTTAGGAGGCCCGGACGGGCCAATCACGAGGTCAAGAGTTTGAGACCACCTGGCCAACATGGTGAAACCCTGTCTCTACTAAGAATACAAACATTAGCTGGGTGTGGTGCCGCGTGCCTTAATCCCAGCTACTTGGGAGGCTGACGCAGGAGAACTGCTTGAACCCGGGAGGCAGAGGTTGCAGTGAGCCAAGATAGTGCCATTGCACTCCAGCCTGGGCGACAGAGCAGGACTCCGTCTGAGGGAAAAAAAAAAAAAAAACTAGCTGGGCATGGTGGGCAGCAGGGACCTGTAGTCCCAGCCACTCAGGAATTGGAAGTGAGAAGATCACTTGAGCCTGGGAGGTGGAGGCTGCAGTGAGCAGAGATCGCGTTCCTGCACTCCAGCCTGGAGTTGAGACTCTGTCTCAAAAAACAAAAAACAAACAAAAAAACCGAAAACATGTATCATAACAATAAACACATATCATTTAAACTCATCCATTAAAAGAAAGAATAGGACCAGGTACAGGCTCATGCCTGTATTCCCAGTATGTTGGGAGGCCGAAGCAAGCAGATTGCTTGAGGCCAGGAATTTGAGACCAGCCTGGCCAACATAGCGAAACCCCATCTCTAGTAAAAATACAAAAATTAGCTGGGCATGGTGGCACAAGCCTGTGATCCCAGCTACTCAGGAGACTGAGGCACGAGAATCACTTGAGCCTGGGAGGTGAAGCCAAGATCACACCACTGCATCCCAGCCTGGGCAGACAGAGCAAGATGCTATCTCAAAAGAAAAAATAATAAAGATTTGGTTTGATTTTAATTTTGTATTTATTTATTTATTTTTGAAATGGAGTCTTGCTCTTGTCACCCAGGCTGGAGTGCAGTGGCCTGATCTCAGCTCACTGCAACCTCTGCCTCCCAGGTTCAAGTGATTCTCCTGCCTTAGCCTCCCCAGTAGCTAGGATTACAGGCGGCCGCCACCACACCCAGCTAATTTTTGTATTTTTAGTAGAGATGGGGTTTCACCATGTTGGCCAGGCTGGTCTCAAACTCCTGACCTCAAGTGATCTGCCTGCCTTGGCCTCCCAAAGTGCTGGGATTACAGGTGTGAGCCACTGTGCCCAGCCTGATTTGATTTTTTTTTTTTTTTTTTTTTGAGACAGAGTCTTGCTCTGTTGCCCAGGCTGCAGTGCAGTGGCGCGATTTCGGCTCACTGCAAGCTCCGCCTCCCGGGTTCACGCCATTCTCCTGCCTCAGCCTCCCGAGTAGCTGGGACTACAGGCGCCCGCCATCATGCCCGGCTAATTTTTTTTATTTTTAGTAGAGACGGGGTTTCACCGTGTTAGCCAGGATGGTCTCGATCTCCTGACCTCGTGATCCGCCCGCCGCGGCCTCCCAAAGTGCTGGGATTACAGGCGTGAGCCACTGCGCCCAGCCCTGATTTGATTTTAAAAGACAAATAACTATATGCTTTTCAAGAGATGCCTAAAACAAAATAACTCAAAAAGCTGAAAATACAAAGATCAACTAAAATGTACAGGGCAAAATCTAAGCAAAAACAAAGGAGGAGTTTTGATGACAATAGTAAAGTCGAATTTAGGGGGAAAACATTAAATAGGAATAAAGGGAGTACTATTTTTTTTTTTTGAGACGGAGCCTCTCTCTGTTGCCCAGGCTGGAATGCAGTGGCGTGATCTCGGCTCACTGCAACCTCTGCCTCCTGGGTTCAAGCAACTCTCCTGCCTCAGCCTCCCGAGTAGCTGGGATTACAGGCATGTGCCACCATGCCTGGCTAACTTTTGTATTTTTTAGTAGAGACGGGGTCTGGCTGTGTTGGCCAGGCTGGCCTTGAACTCCTGACCTCAAATGATCCCCCTGCCTCAGTTTCCCAAAGTGCTGGGATTACAAGCATGAGCCACTGTGCCCAGCCCAAAAGGGAGTAGTTTATAATGAATAAAACTTCAAATCATATAAAAGATATAAATGTCAGGAACATTTAAACATCAAATAACAGCATCAAAAGATACAAAGCAAAATGTTCATGACACAGAACAATAACTTCTTTTAATCAATGACAAAGTAGATAAGAACAATGAAGATATAAATAAAATAAATATTCCCCCCATATTGGCTCAGTTGCATAGAACAGAATCCTCTCCAATCAGTTCAAGCAGAAAGGAATTCACTACACGGTATTAAACAGTTCATATCAGAGGTTCACAAAGTGTGGCCCCAGAAACTGCAGCATCAGTATCACCTGCAAATTTGTTAAAATGCAAATTCCTAGTTCTACCCCAGACCTACCGAATCAGCAATTCTGGATGGGGCCAGCACCTTGTGTTTTAACAAGCTCTTCAGGGGATTCTGACGCACACTCAAGCTGAAAAACACTTGCATAAATAAATGATCACGATGAGGGTTGAGGGAAAAACAGTTGGTAGGAACAAGTGCTTATCAAACTGGGAAGGTGCTCTTATTTACAGCTGCTGGCTCAAGAATCATGTGCTGGGCTGGGCGCAGTGGCTCATGCCTGTAATCTCAACACTTTGGGAGGCCAAGGTGGGAGGATCGCTTGAGGCCAGGAGTTCAAGATCAGCCTGGGCAACACAGCAAGACTTTGTCTCTGCAAAAAAATTTTTTTTGAAAATTAGCTGAGGCTGGGTGCGGTGGCTCATGCCTGTAATCCCAGCACTCTGGGAGGCTGAGGCAGGTGGATCACCTAAGGTCAGGAGTTCCCGACCAGCCTGGCCAAAAGCGATGAAACCCCGTCTCTACTAAAAAATACAAAAATTAGCCAGGCGTGGTGGAATATGCCTGTAATCCCAGCTACTCGGGAGGCTGAGGCAGGAGAATCGCTTGAATACAGGAGGCAGAGTTTGCAGTGAGCCGAGACTGCACCACTGCACTCTAGTCTGGGCGACACAGCAAGACTCCATCTCAAAAAAAAAAAAAAAAAATTAGCTGAGTGTAGTGGCATGCAACTGCAGTCTTAGCTACTTGGGAGACTGAGGTGGGAGGATCACTTATGCCCAGGAGTTGAAGACTGCAGTGAGCTATGATTGTGGCACTGCATTCCATCCTCACAGAGCAAGACCCTGTATCTAAAAATAAAAAATAGCAGGCCGGGCATGGTGGCTCACGCCTGTAATCCTAGCACTCTGGGAGGCTGAAGAGGGCGGATCACCTAAGGTCAGGAGTTTGAGACCAGCTTGGCTAACATGGTGAAACCTCGTCTCTACTAAAAACACAAAAATTAGCTGGGCGTGGTGCCACGTGCACTTGTAGTCCCAGCTACTCAGGAGGCTGAGGCAGGAGAATCGCTGGAACCTGGAAGGTGGAGGCTGCAGTGAGCTGAGATCGCGCCACTGCACTCCAGCCTGGGTGACAGAGTGAGACTCCATCTCAAAAATATAAAATAAAATAATAACAAAACATATGCTATGATGGGAAACCACCTGCTGAATCAACAAGCCCCTACCACAGCCAATGGCTCCATAAACAAGTTGTGTCTGCAGTAATCAGAAAGTGACCTAACTAAATAGGAGAGCCGCTTCTCTAGCTCCTGATCCAGAACCTCATCACTGCCAAAATCTGCACCAGCAAATACATGCCTCCTAGTCTGCCTTTCTCCTCTCTAAAATCAGATTCAAATTTAAGTTCTCCAGGAGCATATTTGATTTGTAAAACCTAAATCATATTCAGAATCTTGGATGCAAAAAATTCCAGACAATGAAATTTCTCACTTTCCAGGCTCTCAAGTGGAAGTTGCTCATTCACTCACATCCCACCTACCTCAGGGTTCAAAGTGGGATCAGTCCCTTCAATTCCTCTGCAATGCCACTTGCAGACCAACAGTCCCACACGCCCCCCATCTTGTAAAAATCTTGTTCCTTTGATGCTTAGAACATTCAGCTAAACCGCAGCTACTCACTTTGCTGTCATTCTCTGAACCTTGTCATCACCCAAACCTCTTAACCTCCAAAATCACTAAGACATCTAACTATCTGATCTCCCATCATTACAGCTAGACTGCTTACCCACTATCACTTTTATTCTCCAGCTGTATCAAGCCACTATCCCTTGATCTCTCCAATTTCTCTGTATGTCAGCCACATCCTATCTAGTTTAGATTCCTTCATTTCAATCAGATTCTCGCTGATATTCATCTTCTTGTTCCACATGCTTAGCAAAACTCAAGCCCTGTTAAGTTCAACCATCCAACTCTTTTATGTGTGAATCTAAGTTGCTGAGCACTGGCAATCCCACTTTCTCTCTAGTCAGCCCCTACATGCTCTCCCCCTACACATTCTCTGATCCCGATTCTCTGCAGATGATTTTGCTTTTGATTTCCGAAACAAAACCAAAGCCGTTAGGTGGGAGATACTTCAACTTTTTGCCAAGTAAGCTAATACTCCCTGCCTCTGACACCTTCATTCACTCTCTAACACCAAACCTTTCACTTGTGTTCTAGCCCCATTCCCCCATCTCCTAATGGAACTGGAATTAGTTTATCCATTTCTTTTCTATTGGCTCCTTCCAAACAGCATTTAAATATGTTTATAATTCTCATCTTCACACATAACTATCCTTCACCCCATATTCCTCCTTCCACTAATATTCTCCTCCTCCTACAGTCAAACTTTTAAGACATAAATAAAAGTATATAGATATAAAAAAAGTTTAAGATATAAATAAAAGCTCCTTGATTATTTTAATTTCCCTGCATCATCCTAAGAAGCATATTGTCCCCCAACTCATCAGTGAAATTAAAATCATCAATAATCACTGTATTATTAATCCAATGGACATTTCTCAGCCTCATTCAAGTTGACCTCTCAGCAGCTCCAACACTACTTTCTTGAAACATTCACTTTTCTTGAGAAGCAATTCAACGAGCAGTAAAATTCCACAGTTTTACAAAATTCCCTCAATTTTTTACAGTTGTCTCATTCACACCTATTTGGCAGCTTTTTTGTTTGCAAACTCACCTCTTTTGTCTTTCTAAAGCATTCAATTTAGTTTTAGTTTGCTTCCTTTACTTTTTTAGAATTGTTTTCACAAAACTTTTACTTCATATAAAATACTATAAAGATAGCAACAAAAGGCCGGGCGCTGTGGCTCATGCCTGTAATCTCAGCACTTTGGGAGACTGAGGTGAGCAGATCATGAGGTCAGGAGATCGAGACCATCCTGGCCAACATGGTGAAACCTCGTTTCTACTAAAAATACAAAAATTAGCTGGGTGTGGCGGCACACCCCTGTAATCCCAGCTACTCAGGAGGCTGAGGCAGGAGAATTGCTTGCAGGAGGTTGCAGTGAGCCAAGATTGCACCACTGCACTCCAGCCTGGCGACAGAGCTAGACTCCGTCTCAAAAAAAAAAAAAAAAGGAGCAAACAACCATCTATGGTTCAACTTAGTTTTTTAGTTTTTTGTTTTTGTTTTTTTGAGACAGAGTCACGCTCTGTCTCCCAGGCTGGAGCGCAGGGGCATGCTCTCTGCTCACCGCTGCCTCCGCCTCTGGGGTTCAAGTGATTCTTCTGCCTCAGCCTCCTGAGTAGCTGGGATTACAGGCATGTGCCACCATGCCCAGCTAAGTTTTGTACTTTTAGTAGAGATGGGATTTCACCATGTTGGCCAGGCTGGTCTCAAACTCCCAACCTCAGGTGATCCACCCACCTCGGCCTCCCAATCAACTTAGTTTTAATAGAAACAATAACTCTTTCATATTAAAATTTATTTCCCCTGTCACCCAGGCTGGAATGCAGTAGTGCGATGATCATGGCTCACTGCACCTTGACCTCCTGGGCCCAAGTGCTCCTCCCCATCTCAGCCTCTCAGGTCACTGGGACCACATGCACACACCAGCAGGCCTAGCTAATTTTTATTTTTTTTGTAGAGACAGGGTCTCAACTATCTTACTCAGACTGGTCTCAAATTCCTGGGCTCAAGTGATCCTCTAGCTTCAACTTCCAAAGTGCTAGGATTACAGGTTTGAGTCACCACACCCAGCCTATAACGTATGTATAAAGACAAAGCAAAACATTAAAAAAAAAAAAAAAAAGGGTGGGAGCCTGGACAACATAACAAAATCCTGTCTCAACAACAACAACAAAAATGTTTAATTAGCTGGGTGTGGTGGCAAATACCTGTAGCTCTAGCTATTCGAGAGGCTGAGGCAGGAGGATCGCCTGAGCCCAGGAGTTCAAGGTTACAGTGAGCTGTGATCATGCCACTCGACTCCAGCCTGGGTGACAGAGCAAGATCTTGTCTCAAAAAAAGTGGGAACCAATACAATGACTCTTGGCAAGCATTCAACTCAACTAGTGGAAGCAGACTGACCACGTCTACAGGAGAAAAACCTTCAAGCTTCAAGCATTTAGAGAGGAAATAAGAGTATGTCAGTTAACATAAGGAGCTAAATGGAAATCAGTTAAGAGAGCTTCTATACAAGTCTTAAGGATTTTCTAGGCCAAGTGCTGTGACTCACGCCTGTAATCCCAGCACTTTGGGAGGCCAAGGCAGATGGATCACTTGAGGTCAGGAGACTAGCCTGGCCAACATGGTGAAACCCCATCTCTACTAAAAATATAAAAATTAGCCCGGCGTGGTGGCAGGCGCCTGTAATCCCATCTACTCGGGAGGCTGAGACAGGAGAATCACTTGAACCCAAGAGGCAGAGGGAGAGGTTGCAGTGAGCCGATATCACGCCACTGCACTCCAGCCTGAGTGACAGAGGAAGATTCCGGTTTTTTTTAAAGGATTTTCTACATCAGTATACATATATTTATCTCATTCTTCCTAATTGCTGCATGGCATTCCATAGAATTAGTTATTTAGACAATCTTCATTTAATGAACAAATGAGTTAAAATACTATTTCAAAAAATACTGCAATAAATATTCTAGTACAAATCTCTTCATTAATTCATCAATAAATTATTTTTCTCGAATAATCATCTGAACATGGAATTACTGTACTACACTGAAGAACATGCACATTTCAAAATTTGATACTACCAAACGGCTCACCAAAATTAAAACTATTTATGTATATTAGTACCCATTTTATCATACCGTTACTGATCTTTTTAATTTTCGCCAATCTGATAGGTGAAAGAATTCTTCCCCACTCTATTTATTTGCACTGATAATAATTGGTGTCAGCAACTTCTTTCTATATATTGGACATCCATATGACTTTTATGAATTGCCTGTACATATAATTTGCCTGGCCGGGCACGGTGGCTCACGCCTGTAATCCCAGCACTTTAGGAGGCCGAGGTGGGCGGATAACGAGGTCACAAGTTCGAGACCAGCCTGACCAACATGGTAAAACCCCGTCTCTACTAAAAATACAAAAGTAGCCGGGCATGGTGGCACGCGCCTGTAATTCCAGCTACTCAGGAGGCTGAGGCAGGAGAATCGCTTGAACCCGGGAGGCGGAGGTTGCAGTGAGCCGAGATCACGCCACTGCACTCCAGCCTGGGCAACAAGAACAAAACTCCGTATCAAAAAAAAAAAAAATACACTTCTCATGGAAGGCAGCAGCAGGATGTAATGGTACAAATTCTGGATACACAGTAAAGGAATAGATGATCAGTAAATTCGTACTGAGTTTCTAAAACCTTCCATTGCACCCCAATCTGTCTGGTTCCCATGCTGCTCCAGGATGCCAGCTTGACCTCCCCAGCCAAGAAAAAATAATGACACAACACTGCACCTTAAGTATGAAATTACTTTGAATACACTGCTTAGCTTAATATATTGTTTCCTAAAGTGTTCCTAGGGTACAACTGGCGGTATGCAAGATGATTTTAATGGTACGAAAACGAACATTTTAATGACTAGTGCTTTTATTTCAACTTACATAAACAATTATAAGTAGCCCATGAAACCCACGGTTTCATTTATATTGCTTAGGTCGAGACTAATGCATTTAAACTTTTTAAGTAAGTCAATTTAAAGAGAACTATTCAGAAAACAATAGTACAATTGATAAGAGATTGCAAAAATAGTGATGGCACGGGATTGACTTAAAATTGTATATGCCTCTGGAACAAAGAGGTTTGTCCATACCCTATACATCCCTCCAACAAAGTGAGTTGCCTCCGACGGAGTTGAAGTCGCCACCTCTGACTTCCCCAACAGGCAGCCAACTTGCCACGGGACAAAAGGACTAGACAGGGAAACACAACTGGCCCTTGGTTACGCCAATGGCGTTGCAGCGCGCGGGGCACAACCCTCGGGGTTAAAGAGCCTCCTCGAGGAAGAGGCTGGGACACAGCTGAAAGAGATTGACCCACAACCACTCTAGGGGCCATCACCTGCCCTTCTTCAGTCCTGGGCGTGAAGGTAGATTTCTCCCCTAGCCTGTGCGGGAGAGGAGCCCTGGTTTTTCTAACAAGGACTACTGTAGGTTCGCCGAGTTCGAGGGACGCTACGTATGCAGCGCCTACGCCCGGACACAGGCTTCCGCGTTACCGACACCGCGTGGGGGAGGAGGGCAAGACCCGAGGCTTGCAGAGATGGGGGGTGCACGGTGGCCACAGTAGGGAAGGTGCGGAGCATGATGGTGCTCTGTAGGAGCGCAGACGCTGAAAGGCGCGCTGCTGTGGCTGGGAGAAGAGCGGAGCCAGGAGTTTGTTCCCAATATCTTAGTGCTATGGCAAAAGAAGGGGGAGGAGTAATTGTGGGGCCCCCCACACACCCGCTGCGGCGATACACTCACCCTCGCCAAAGTCCTTCCGGAAGTCTAAGTTCGAAGATGGCGCCGCCTGTCTGGTCGCGGTCTTATGACGAAATCTTGTTAGCTGCTCTTCACTGACGCCCCCACCCCAGTGCACAAGGTAAACACGTGTGCTTGGTCCGGAGTCGGTGCCGGGCTAGTTTTCTCTTAGACTCTGTATTCCATAATGCAGCGCGGCCAGAGTCACCGAGCCCTCCGAAGCCAGCCGAGTTCCAGGGCGTCTTCAGCGGCGCCAGGGACGCTGCAGGGCCTCATGGGAGTTGCAGTGTCAAAAAGGGGAGATCGACGCCTGCGCGGCCAACGGGATCCCACGCGGCCTCGACGGGAGCCGGGAGTAGGCGGACTCCCAGGCCGGGCTCGCGCTCTGGATCCCTGAATCCGGCCTTTCCGGCCGGACTGCCGCGCCTGTGGCCGGAAGAGCCAGCTAGACCAGAGAGTCTGTACCTGCAACCCTGGCGGCGTCCGAGCCCAAGGCGGAGTCTGGGAGACAAAGAAGTCCTCGCCGCCGGCCGCTGGAGGATTCTGCCAGTAGTGAAGTCAGGGATGGGCCCGAGAGAGCTTGGAAAGAGGACAAGGAAGGGAAGGAGTAGGAGTAGAAAAGCATGACTTTGGCTGGGTATGGTAGCTCCTGTCTGTAATCCCAGCACTTTGGGAGGCCAAGGCGGGGGAGGATCACTTGAGCCCAGGAATTCGATACCAGCCTGGGCAACATAGTGAGACCCCGTTTTTATTTTTATTTTTATTTTTTCCTGAGATGGAGTCTTGCTCTGTCCCCAGGCTGGAGTGCAGTGGCGCGATCTCGGCTCACTGCAAACTCCGCCTCCCGGGTTCAAGCAATTGTCCTGCCTCAGCCTCCCGAGTAGCTGAGATTACAGGCGCCCGCCACCAAGCCCGGATAATTTTTGTCTTTTTAGTAGAGAAGGGGTTTCACTATGTTGGCCAGGCTGGTCTCGAACTCCTGACCTTGTGATACGCCTGCCTCAGCCTCCCAAAGTGCTGGGATTACAGGCATGAGCCACCGCGCCCGGCCTAATTTTTTAATTTTTTCTAGAGATGGGGTCTCGTTATGTTGACCAGGCTGGTCTTGAACACCTGACCTGAAGTGATCCTCTTGCCTCAGCCTCCCATAGTGCTGCGATCACAGGTGTAAGTCACTGAGTTTGGCCATTATTCCATTTCTGTACACAAAAACCTTTCTCATTCTGTGCTATAACTAGTTAGCATTTAATTGGGTGGATGTGGTATAACTAGTGCCTTGTTGATATTGATGCATATTTACATGGTTTTGCTGTTATAAACAATGGTCCCTTGCTATTATAAATCACACTGCTATAAGTAACCTTGCATCTAAATTACTTCAAATGTGTAACTATATGGGTAGGATAATTTCTAGAAGTGGAATTGTGAACCAAAGTTTTAGGTGCATTTGTAATTTTGATTTATAACCAATCTTTTCACTGATCTACTTCTCTGCCTCTAATTTCTACTAGGTGTTTGTTTGTTTGTTTGTTTGTTTTGAGACAGGGTCTTGCTCTGTCACCCAGGCTGGAGGACAGTGGTGCAATCACGGCTCACTGCAGCCTCAACCTGCCACCTCAGCCTCCTGAATAGTTGGGGTGTGTGGCAGGTGTATACCACCACTTCCAGGTTTTTTTGTTGTTGTTGTTTAATAGAGATGAGGTCTTGCTATATTGCCCAGGCAGGTCTCACACTACTGAGCGCAAGCGATCCTCCTGCCTATGCCTCCCAAAGTGCTGGGATTACAGGTGTGAGTTGCCATGCCTGGCCCGGTTATCTTTCTAAAGCATAAAGCAACCCTGTTGATCCTCTGCTTAATTTTGATGATTAAGTAGTATGTTCAAAATATAGAAATCCATGTATTGATAATGATCTTTTAAAAAAAGTAAAAGCCAAAATATCAGCTACTCATCCTACACCATTGAAAGTAGTGACCATTAAACTGCTCTACCTCTACCTCCACCTCTCTACCTCTCTACCTCTCTACCTCTACCTCTACCCACGGTCTCCCTCTCTTTCCATGGTCTCCCTCTCATGTGGAGCCGAAGCTGGACTGTACTGCTGCCATCTCGGCTCACTGCAACCTCCCTGCCTGATTCTCCTGCCTCAGCCTGCCGAGTGCCTGCGATTGCAGGCACGCGCTGCCACGCCTGACTGGTTTTGGTGGAGACGGGGTTTCGCTGTGTTGGCCGGGCCGGTCTCCAGCCCCTAACCGCGAGTGATCCGCCAGCCTCGGCCTCCCGAGGTGCCGGGATTGCAGACGGAGTCTCGTTCACTCAGTGCTCAATGGTGCCCAGGCTGGAGTGCAGTGGCGTGATCTCGGCTCGCTACAACCTACACCTCCCAGCCGCCTGCCTTGGCCTCCCAAAGTGCCGAGATTGCAGCCTCTGCCCAGCCGCCACCCCGTCTGGGAAGTGAGGAGTGTCTCTGCCTGGCCGCCCATCGTCTGGGATGTGAGGAGCCCCTCTGCCTGGCTGCCCAGTCTGGAAAGTGAGGAGCGTCTCCGCCCGGCCGCCATCCCATCTAGGAAGTGAGGAGTGCCTCTTCCCAGCCGCCATCACATCTAGGAAGTGAGGAGCGTCTCTGCCCGGCCGCCCATCGTCTGAGATGTGGGGAGCGCCTCTGCCCCGCCGCCCCATCTGGGATGTGAGGAGCGCCTCTGCCCGGCCGCGACCCCGTCTGGGAGGTGAGGAGCGTCTCTGCCCGGCCGCCCCGTCTGAGAAGTGAGGAGCCACCCCATCTGGGAAGTGAGGAGCATCTCCGCCCGGCAGCCACCCCGTCCGGGAGGGAGGTGGGGGGTCAGCCCCCCGCCCGGCCAGCCGCCCCGTCCGGGAGGGAGGTGGGGGGGTCAGCCCCCTGCCCGGCCAGCCGCCCCGTCCGGGAGGTGAGGGGCGCCTCTGCCCGGCCGCCCCTACTGGGAAGTGAGGAGCCCCTCTGCCCGGCCACCACCCCGTCTGGGAGGTGTGCCCAACAGCTCATTGAGAACGGGCCAGGATGACAATGGCGGCTTTGTGGAATAGAAAGGCGGGAAAGGTGGGGAAAAGATTGAGAAATCGGATGGTTGCCGTGTCTCTGTAGAAAGAAGTAGACATGGGAGACTTTTCATTTTGTTCTGCACTAAGAAAAATTCTTCTGCCTTGGGATCCTGTTGATCTGTGACCTTACCCCCAACCCTGTGCTCTCTGAAACATGTGCTGTGTCCACTCAGGGTTAAATGGATTAAGGGCGGTGCAAGATGTGCTTTGTTAAACAGATGCTTGAAGGCAGCATGCTCGTTAAGAGTCATCACCAATCCCTAATCTCAAGTAATCAGGGACACAAACACTGCGGAAGGCCGCAGGGTCCTCTGCCTAGGAAAACCAGAGACCTTTGTTCACTTGTTTATCTGCTGACCTTCCCTCCACTGTTGTCCCATGACCCTGCCAAATCCCCCTCTGTGAGAAACACCCAAGAATTAGCAATAAAAAAATAAATTAAAAAATAAAAAAATAAAAAAATAAAAAAAACTCATTAAGCTCTAAAAAAAAAAAAAAAAAAGAAAGAAAAAAAGAAAGTAGTGACCAATTCCTGAAAATTGGCAAAAAAAAAAAAAAGGCAAGAGTAAGGCATTTATCTTGTCTTTCCAGTATGAACTCTAGTTCAAAATAACTGATGAGAGGAAGGTTTTGTTTGTTTTTTGAGACTGAGTCTCACTCTGTCGCCCAGGCTGGAGTGCAGTGGCGCGATCTCGGCTCACTGCAACCTCTGCCTCCCAGGTTCAAGCAATTCTTGTGCCTCAGCCTCCTGAGTAGCTGGGATTACAGGCGCCCGCCACCACTCCCGGCTAATTTTTGTATTTTTTTAGTAGAGACGGGGTTTCACCATGTTGGCGAGGCTGGTCTTGAACTCCTGACCTCAGGTGATCCGCACACCTAAGCCTCCCAACGTGCTGGGATTACGGGTGTGAGCCATTGCCCAGCCCGGGATTTTTTTTTTTTTTTATAGATTAACAGCTAGTAATTGTGCAAAGAATGATAGAAAAAAATCACTATTTTGCATGTCCCAGTGAAATAATTCAGGCAACAATCACCAGTGGATGAAATCCCTAAAGAGCTTTTAGGAAGCTTTAAAATGCCTGGACCCACTCATCACTGAACATGAAACCACCAGTCATTGTTTGCCTCCTGATGTGAGGCAATATAAAGCACACAGAACCACTTATTAAACATTCTTGCCCAAAAAATTGAATAGGAATACAGGACTTAGGGGCCAGGCGTGGTGGCTCACACCTGTAATCCCAGCACTTTGGGAGGCCAAGGAGGGCGGATAATCTGAGGTCAGGAGTTCAAGACCAGCCTGGCCAATGTGGTGAAACCCTGTCTCTACTAAAAATACAAAAGAAAATTAGCTGGATGTGGTGACGCACACCTGTAGTCCCAGCTACTCGGGAGGCTAAGGCAGGAGAATCACTTGAACCTGGGAGGCAGAGGTTGCAGTGAGCTGAAATCGTGCCATTGCACTCCAGCCTGGGCAACAGAGCAAGACTCCATCTCAAATAAAAAAAAAAGAAATACAGGACATAGGGAATGAGTGAAATGACAACATAAGAAAGCAAACAGTCAAATCTAGAATGCAGAACATTTCATATGACAATCAACATGGCTTCTGTAAGCCAATGTCAATGTAAAAAGGGGATAGGAGACTGCTCTTTTTTTTTTTTTTTTGTTTGTTTGTTTGTTTGTTTGTTTGAGACAGAGTCTCACTCTGTCGCCCAGGCTGGAGTGCAGTGGCAAGATCTCTGCTCACTGCAAGGTCCACCTCCCGGGTTCACGCCATTCTCCTGCCTCAGCCTCCCGAGTAGCTGGGACTACAGGCGCCCGCCACCACGCCTGGCTAATTTTTTGTATTTTTAGTAGAGATGGGGTTCCACTGTGTTAGCCAGGATGGTCTCCATCTCCTGACCTCGTGAACTGCCCGCCTCGGCCTCCCAAAGTGCTGGGATTAGGCGTGAGCCACCGCGCCCGGCTGAGGAGACTGCTTTTTAAAAAATGTAACCAAATGTAATGTGTGGATTTGTTTGGATCTTGAGTCAAACTAAGTCATTTTTCAGCCAAGGAAATTTGATTATGGATTGAATACTAAGAAAGTATGATTTAATAAGTGATATTATGGTAAATTTCCATATTTCTTAAGAGACATTGAAGTTAAAGGAGTGAAATGATATAATGCTTGGATTTGATTTAAAGTAACTTCATCAAGGAAAAACAAGAAGGCTGAGTGCTGTGGCTCACGCCTGTAATCCCAACACCTTGGGACGCTGAGGCGGGCGGATCACCTGAGGTCGGGAGTTCAAGACCAGCCTGACCAACATGGAGAAACCCCCATCTCTACTAAAAATACAAAATTAGCTGGGTATGGTGGCACATGCCCATAATCCCAGCTACTCGAGAGGCTGAGGCAGGGGAATCGCTTGAATCCAGGAGGCGGAGGTTGCAGTGAGCCAAGATTGCACCATTGCACTCCAGCCTGGGCAACAAGAGCGAAACTCTGTCTCAAAAAAAAAAAAAAAAAAAAGAAAAAAGAAAAACAACAAAAAGAGAAAGTAAATGTGGCAAATTTGATAACTGTTGCATCTGGTCATGGAGATTCTTTGTATAGTTCTACTTTTACGCTGCTTAAAAATGTTTGATAAAACCAACATGGCATATGTATACCTATGTAACAAACCTGCACATTGCGCACATGTACTGTAGAACTTAAAGTATAAAAAAAAAATTTGATAAAATGGTTGGGTGCAGTGGCTCACGCCTGTAATCCCAGCACTTTGGGAGGCCAAGGCAGGTGGATTGCTTGAGGTCAAGAGTTCAAGACCAGCCTGACCCACATGGTGAAACCCCGTCTCTACTAAAAATACAAAAATTAGCTAAGTGTGGTGGCAGGCACCTGTGATCCCAGCTACTTGGGAGGCTGAGGCAGGAGAATTGCTTGAACCCAGAAGGCAGAGGTTGCAGTGAGCCGAGATAGTGCCATTGCACTCCAGCCTGGGAGACGAGTGACTCTTTCTCAAAAAAAAAAAAATTCAATAACACACATATATACCCAATAGATAACTCTTCATTTTAAGCTAACCAGTGGTTGGACTCACAGTCTGGCCCCAACTTACCTTTGCAGTTTGATCACTCAACAATAAGACTCAGTTCTAGCCTCACTATACTATGTGACACTTTTACATTGGCCACTCACTTTAAGGCCTATTCTTTGTGTTCAAGCTGTTTCTTCTTTTTTTTTCTTCCCTAACTGGGCAATTACTTATCTTTCAAGGACTAGGTTAGATGTGACTTGTAAGTTTTCACCAATCTTTTGTTCATACTACTACTGGGTTACCTCATACTGTAGATACTATCTTCTTATGCCATGGTAAGCGTTCCTTAAGGGAATATAGCACAAAAGTTAAGGGCACAGTTTCTAGATCCAGACTGCCTGAGGTCACATCCTGGTTTAGCTACTGACTAGCTGTGTTACCTAGGGCAAGTAACTTCATCTCTCTGTCTGCCTTGGGTAAGTAACTTAACCTTTCTGTGTCTGAGCTGTGTTGCCTTGGGCAAGCAACTTAACCTTTCTATGCTTCCATTATCTCATCTGTAAAATCGCATTTACTTCATAGAGTTGTATTATTATTTTTATTTTTAGAGATGGAGCCTCGCTTTGTTGCCCAGGCTGGAGTGCAATGGTGCCATCTCAGCTCACTGCAATCTCCATCTCCTGGGTTCAAGCGATTCTTCTGCCTCAGCCTCTGGAGTAGCTGGGATTACAGGCATGCGCCACCACGCCCAGCTAATTTTTGTATTTAGTGTAGAGACAGGGTTTCATCATGTTGGCCAGGCTGGTCTTGAACTCTTGACCTGAGGTGATCTGCCTGCCTCGGCCTCCCAAATGAGCCACTGCGCCCAGCCTTCATAGAGTTGTATTAATCTTCCTAAATGGGTAAGAAAGGGTTCAGAACAGTTTCTGACACACAGTTAAATATTCAACAAATGCTAATTTATAAGGTTAGGACTCTCTTTTTGAGACAGGGTCTCACTCTGTCACCCAGGCTGGAGTGCAGCGGCACAATCATGGCTTACTGCAGCCTCTACCTCCTGGACTCAAGCAATCCTCTGGCTTCAGCCTCCTGAGTAGCTGGAACAACAGATGAGCACAACCATGCCCAGCTAATTTTTATTTTTTGTAGAGACCGGATTGCCATGTTGCCCAGGCTGGTCTCAAACCTCTGGGCTCAAACAATCCTCCTGCCTTAGCCTCCCAAAATGCTGAGATTACAGGAATGAGTCACTGCACTCAGCCCAGGACTATTTGTTTTCATATTCCTCCTCACACCCAGTTTAGTGTCTGGCATGTAGATGCTCAGTGAATGATTGATTTGGGTAGTTTTGGTTCTTTATACGGGTCTTCAGGTTAGTCCCAATGTACTGGCATGGAGCTAGTTACTTGAGCAGGTCTTCACAAAGGTCTGAGTAGCAGGTGATAAAAGGGGTTGTGAAGTCTGGACTCCTAACTTAAGTGGTGGAGATGCTAAAAGAGAAACAAAGGCAGCAGAGTTGCTGAGGGTAGGGAGTATGGCATTTATTAACCCTGTGTTTCCCCCGTCACTGGTCACTGCTCTTGACTCGTAGAACAACAGGTACAGAACTGCAAGGGATCATCCCCAGCTCCGTGATCACCAGATCCACAAGCTCTGGGGGAGTCACATCATAGACTAGATTCAACAACCGTAGGGATGCGTGGTTCTGCCAGTTAGCCAGCGCAACATGTTCTCCCCGCTTACATTGCAGATCATCAGGGTCATCTGCAATGGAAGGCGTACCCATTATGTTCTTTCAGAAAAGAAGTTCTAGTTTATCCGCCCCTCTCCCTCCCTCTCAAGTCTTCACAGGTAGCTGGAGGCTTCTCTTTTGCCTCCTTACCTAGCTCATTAGAGACAAAGGCATCAGTCTGCACACGCTCACAGAACTTGTATGTTTCACAGCAAACCAGCACTGGTACATTATGGGCTCGAGCCACCAGGGCTAACTGTGCTGTCCCTACCCGTGACATCACAGACCCGTTGGCCAAGAGTGCATGAGCTCCCAATAGCACCTTGGAAACCTGTTTCACAGGAGAAGAGGAAGAAAAAAATGTCATTGTTGTATCAATGCAAAATAAGGTCCCCTACTTACAGGACAGCAACATTAAGACAAGTAATAAATCTCAACACCTGTGAAAAGAAGGGAAAGAAACAAAAACAGACAACAAGTAATAAATCTTTTTTTTTTTTTTCTTTGAGATGAAGTTCTGCTCTTGTTGCCCAGGCTGGAGTGCAATGGCGCGATCTCGGCTCACCACAACCTCTGCCTCCTGGGTTCAAGTGATTCTCCTGCCTCAGCCTCCCGAGTAGCTGGGATTACAGGCATGCACCACCACTCCCAGCTGATTTGTTGTATTTTTATATTTTTAGTAGAGACGGGGTTTCTCCACGTTGGTCAGGCTGGTCTCGAACTCCCAACCTCAGGTGATCTGCCCGCCTCAGCCACCCAAAGTGCCAGGATAACAGGCGTGAGCCACTGAGTCCGGCAATTAATAAATCCTTTTTTTTTTTTTTTTTGAGATGGAGTCTCGCTCTGTCGCCCAGGCTGGAGTGCAGTGGCATGATCTCGGCTCACTGCAAGCTCTGCCTCCTGGGTTCACGCCATTCTCCTGACTCAGCCTCCAGATTAGCTGGGACTACAGGCGCCCACCACCACGCCCGGCTAATTTTTTGTATTTTTAGTAGAGACGGGGTTTCACTGTGTTAGCCAGGATGATTGTGAACTCCTGACCTCGTGAACTGCCCTCCTCGGCCTCCCAAAGTGCTGGAATTACAGGCTTGAGCCACTGTGCCCGGCCTAATAAATCTTAATGATGGCTTTTCTTCTGTGAAAACACCTGACCACTGACCCACCAAATCTCCCACAGGAAAAGTAAACTTTGAAGTTACTTTTGTCTTGTTCCCTCTTCCTGGTTGCTAGTTTAATGTAATGTTTTTGCAATAGCTAGACTGCTGTAATATACTGTCAGTGTTTTTCCAATTAAATAGAAACAGAGCTATATAATTATTTTTTTTGACACAGGGTTTCATTCTGTCACCCAGGCTGGAGTGCAGTGGTGCAATGACAGCTCACTGTAGCCTCAACCTCCTGGGCTCAAGCAGTCCTCTCACCTCAGCCTCCTAAGTAGCTGGAACTACATGCGCATGCCACCATGCCCGGGTGTGTGTGTGTGTGTGTGTGTTCAAGCAGTCCTCTCACCTCAGCCTCCTAAGTAGCTGTGTGTGTGTGTGTGTGTGTGCGTGCGCGCGCGCACGCACTCAAGCAGTCCTCTCACCTCAGCCTAAGTAGCTGGAACTACATGCGCATGCCACCATGCCCGGGGTGGGGGTGGGGTGGGGTGTGTGTGTGTGTGTGTGTGTGTGTGTGTGTGTGTGTGTGTGTGTACAGGGTCTCATTATGTTGAGCAGGCTGGTCTTGAACTCCTGGGCTCAAGTGATCCTCCTGCCTTAGTGCTGAGATTGCAGGCATTGAGCCATGGCACCAAGCCAGGGCTATATAATTCTAATATTTTTAAATAATTGTGGCTGGGCACAGTGGCTCATGCCTATGATCCCAGTACTTTGGGAGGCCGAGACAGGGGGAACTGCTTGAGCCCAGGAGTTCCAGCCTGGGCAATGTAGCGATATCCCATCTCTACAAGAAAAATAAAAAACTAGCTGGGCATGGTGGCACACACCAGTAGTCCCAGCTACTCAGAGGCGGAGGTGGGAAGATCACCTGAGCCCAGGAGGTCAAGACTGCAGTGAGCTGTGATCACGTCGCTGCACTCCATCCTTATCTCAAAACAAAAACAAAACTGTAACTTTGGGAAGGTGAGATTATGTCTATACTACTACACCTTTTCACCGCCAACTTTGGAGTCCTTTTCCTCTGTACTTACCTCTGGGAGCACATAGGAGGCTGCAGGAATCAGCAGGTAGGAGGCTGGGACACCAGCATGGACTAGAGAACGTAGTGTGTGCCTTCCTTCCAGCCATGGCCGGCTGTCCACCACTACCACCCGAAACCGCCGGCCCTCTGTCCAAGCCTCCTGAAGAATTCGTGATACCAGAGATGAGCTAGAGTGAATGAAGAGGAGGATTCAGTTATAAATGTCAGTAACTGATGACTAACTTATTCCCAAAGGCAAGTGGGTAGTCCCTTCTTCAGATCATTCCAACTCCCAATCTGCTCAGTCACAAGGTCTGGACCATACCATCCATATACCAGGATCACATCTCCATTACTGATCTTCTGGTAAGCAAAGCGTGAAATTGCCTGAGCTGCTAGCACAATCTTCTCTTGCACATACCGATCAATGGCTGCTCGAAGTTCTGACTTGGCCTAAATGGAGTAAAATCCTTAGTGAACAAGAAATGGACACTTTTATCCCTCTGATGATCATGCCAGGTGCTTGAATATGTGTATGATGACAAGCCTATAGAGGGCTCAGAGATGGCACAAGTCAGAATGGCCAAACCATTCCTTAACCCTTGACTAGGGCAAAAAAAGGCTTACGTTGGCCTTCCCGGGAGTTT
The DNA here is from genome assembly GCF_000001405.40 of Homo sapiens. Taxonomy (NCBI): domain Eukaryota; kingdom Metazoa; phylum Chordata; class Mammalia; order Primates; family Hominidae; genus Homo; species Homo sapiens. The sequence continues at coordinate 27,367,396 of NC_000002.12, forward strand.
TTAACATGTTTCTTAATTTTACCCACAGGTGCATGCCTTCCTTATTTCTCATACTCATCACCTCCTCTTCCCGCTTGGAACTGCCCACACTGGTGATTTCCTTGTTAAGGAACTTGATGGCGTTGTGCATGCTCGCTGACAGGGGACGGCACTGAGTCAGGAAGCTATAATACAACAGCAATACCTTATATCTGCGCAACTCTTCACAACTTACAAAGCCTTCACATTTAAAAAAAAAGTCTTTAAAAAGAAAATAGAACACAAAATGAAAAGAGAGATAGAAAAGCAGGAAAAAGAGTACAAGACAAAGATTGGGCGAGCTGGGAGTGGACTTATAGTGTTGTCCCTACCTCATGTAGGGTTTTAGTTTATTCACTAGATCCCTGGAGAGTTCTTCATTAGGCGGTGTTGTGTAATCCTGAATCACCTATAGGGTACACAAGGTGATCTGCAAAATACCCCTTAATAAAGATCTCTGAACGGGGGCTGGGGGTAAGCTTCACTGAGGAAAATGTTCTGAGGGTAGGAGTATTCCCTCTGTCCCCCAGAGATGACCTTGGGTGACAGAAGCTGGGGTAGTATTGGGGGAGGTGGGGTTGGATCATAAGAGAGAACAGGATGGGACATACCTGCTGCAAGGCACGAAGCAGGGCAATACACCGGGCATTGGAGCCACTGACCAGGCCCTGGGAGTACTGCAGGCCGAGTCGCACCATGGCTGGGTGG